>NC_000005.10:26065396-26368426 GCF_000001405.40 Homo sapiens
GGACTTAACATCCTGCTCTTCTAGAGATTACAACAGCCACATACAACCTGCTGCTCCCTCTCTCTTCAGTCATTCCCTTTAATTCATCCAACCCTCACCATACTTTTCTCTAAGTTTCAGGTCTGCTTTATGGGAATTTGGCTTGAAAACTAGGAAACAGATTTCCAAAACTGTCTCTGGGCTCTGGTCTCAATTGAAAAAAAAAATGCTTTTACCCTGAGAATAATATTACCCCTGCAAATATTCAAGTGAAAAGTTTACCTTTTTGCTTTATAGTTTGCTTTGTAGTTCTCACAATCCTTGTATTTGAAGCTAGTGTAGGTCTCCTTCTTGCTCCTCAGTGTTACTTCCTTAACATGTTTTCTGCTTCCAATTATACAACCATAAACATGGTAAGGAAAACAAAAAAATATTTTCTCTAAATTGCACCCCATGGGATGCTCTTTTTTTTTCTGTCTTCTTTTTTTCTTTTCAATCTATTCAACTCTGATCTCTCCCTATCAGTTTTGGTAAATAATAGTAATTGACACTCAGGTTTCTTCTCTTACCTGAAATCATGGCATAGCTCTAATAGGATTACATATCCATATGAATAAACATTGATATATTTCACGTAAGCTGTTTCTTGATCTGCATACAACTGTTATTTTCTTCCTCTTCACCATAGGCAGATTTCTGTGAGTATACCCTGGTCTTGTGGATAAAACAAATCACTTAAAAATAAGTAATTAAAACATCCCCTCAAGTATCCTTTTCTGATCAGCTATTCTCACGACACTCTTTCAATCACCAATTTCTTCTCCTGTTTGCACTCTGAGTGGTTGAGATTGGGATTCTTTGGTTTATAAATGTTATAAGAAGTTCCCAGATACCTGGGACTGACTATCCCTTCCTCCTTTATGTCTTATTTATTAGGAAAAAAAAAAAGCCAACAACAGTTTTCTGTGTGGGACACAAAGACATCTATTTTTTCTCACTAAGATTAATATTACAATTGTAAGTGAACTTGAGCTACAAAATTTGTTTGGTTTTACAGAAATTGTGTGGTGAATGGTGTATGTGACCTGCTGCTGGTGGCCGAGGTGCTGTGGTCCACAGCAAATATATTCTGGAGTTGCATTAATTTAAACTTGTTGAATGGTACAATATGTAATGTGAGTTAACAGAACAAGGTAGATCTTTAAAAGAGTCTGTAAATAAATATCTTTAATATTAATCTTAGAAACATTCAGCAAATAAATTGAATTCAGTTAACTATATGATGTTAAATATATTAATATTTGAAATGAAGAACTTTCTAAGTAAACTTAGTGATTCATCATGATGAATTTTGCTTATTTTCTCAAAACATTTTGTTTCACTGCTTTATAATTTATAAAATTATGTTGTTTCGTGGTTACCTTTGCCCCCATCATTTCTTTTCCTCTACAGCCAAGTCTGTCATTCACATGCATAAATACATATTGAAAAATTCTGAGCCATAACAAGTATAAGATTATTAGACTATACACATCGTTTTAAGAAATGCTCTAGATTGGCTAATTTGTCAAACAGTCACCACGGCTTTTCCACTTGCAGATCTCAGCAAATCATATGCAAATGGCATAGGATCCGTTTTCATGAGTAAATAACAAATGCAATGTGATCTCTAAGAATTGACTACTCCTCCTCCAAATCACCTTAATATTATCTTTAACTGTTTCAAAGTTTGACAAAATAAGTTTCTTTTGGATCACAGAGCTGACATCACAAGAACATGAATAAAACCTGCAGTAGACTAGATATAAGCCACAGGAAGCCCTAAACTTGTCTGTAGGATCAGTTTTCAGCTTTCACTGTCTGTCATTTGACTGTCTACAGAGATTGCTGTTAAAACGCAAAGATCATATCTAGGCTTTAGACAATATCACATGCTTTTTAACATATATTAGTTGGTTTAATACATGCGAAACACTCAAGAGCACACAAAAATTAAATCTACTATAGTAAGTGGAAAGGCTGCATACTTTCAAAATAATATTTTTTATCACTTCATTGTTTAACTCAACAAAGTTTTGAATACATATATTTGTTTGTCACTGTTCTATGCTGTGCTGATCACAAAATAAAAGTCTATGAATATTCCTTCAAAGAGCTGGTAATCTCCAGAGAGAAAGAGAGAGAGAGAGAGAGAGAGAAAGAGAGAGAGAGAGGAAAAGATATTTATGACACAAATAATCACAACAAAATAAGCAGGGGTCATTTAGTGGATGCATTCCTTAAGTCATAAGTGGTTTGTTAAATCTTTATAATATTCCTTTAATTAAGTACAATTATGATCCTCATATCTCAGAAGAAGGAATTGAAGCTAAGAGATCTTGCTCAAGGTCTTACAACTGCAGAATGACAAATAAATGTGAGACTGCATGCAATTCATGTAGAATATTTAAAAGGCACACACAACAAACATATGTATAATAACAAGGTGCCACAGGAGTGTGTGAAGAACCAGCTATGAGGAGAGCTTATGGTGAATGAGGTTAAAAGACAGGACAGATTCTCTGAAATGTCATACAGTAAGCTAATTAATGAAAGAATAATATTGGTGAAAGGGTCCCAGACTGAAGAAACAGCAATGAGGAAACCTGTTGAAGAGAATGTCAAGCAGCTTGAAGTTATTGGAGTATGGAAGTGGAAAAATGAGATGAAGGAAAAAGAGAAGGGAAAATTCTGCTGGAACCATATTTCAAAGTCTCCATCTGCTAGATCAAAAAGCTCGGATCTTCTTTGAAGACATTAGGAAGCCCTGAAGTATTTTGTTTCAATGGATGACATTGTCACATTGGCATTTTAGATATTCAAAGTGGCATCTTTTGTGAGATATTTTGAGAAGGCTAAGATGAAAGAAAAAAGAGAAACCTTCATAAATTGTTGTGGGTAGACCTTTTGAGAGTTATAATACAACATGAGTATGCAACTGATAAAATGTAGAAAAATGGAGGGATTGTCGATAAATTTAAGGTTAACACTAGAAAATGTGAATCAACATGTGTACTCATAGAATAGTAATTAAGGATAATTTTAGGGTTTTTTTGCATGATTTAATGCTAAGTTATCCAACTGAGATTAAGGCTAAAATGATAGGTAAATGATGTGGAATTTTGGGGAGGAAAAAACTCTTTTTTTCTGAGTTGGAAGAATAAGAAAAGAAGTGACATTTGAGGAATATAATAATCTATAACCAGAAATGGTGACATTGTTGTGAGCAAAGGGCATATAACATTTGAGCAACAACTGGGTGATGACATTTTATTCAGGAAATATGGAGTACACAAGGTTTTTAGTAATGGGAAATAGAAATGTGGACTGGGTGGAGATAATGCTGTCGAAATGCATTGAATATGATTAATGAAGATGTATCTACCTGCTTAGGGGAGGCTCACATCCAGTTACTTGTTCCAGATTGTGTATTTTCTTGCAATTAATTTTTTGCCTCTGAAAATGTTTACCTTTTAAACTTAATTTTGACATACATATAAAGGTGTAATTTAAAATTTTCTAGAATGAAAAAGAATATAAGGATAACCACAATAAATATTTAAAAATATTATTTGCATTCCATATGGCAGGCTTAGTATTTACCCTTTAGGCATAAAAGTATAATTTGCAATAGACACACATAGTACCCACAGTGATAGAAACAGGCTGTAATGCTAGAGAATAACAGAGGGTTAAGAGACCTTCAGATTCTGTCAGCGGGGAGACCCACTGCGATACATTATTCGCTGATTGTCTAGCTGGGAAGGTGACATTTAGGCTGAACACTTGGAAGATAAGTAGGATTCAGTCAAATGAAGAGTGGAGAGATAAGTCCTTTCAAGCAGCTGCAAGAGTATGTGCAAGAGCAGTAAAGAGGTAGAGAGCTCCAATTGCTTGTAGGAGAGCAAGCAGCCCACTAAGTACAGAGCAAGACACTGAAGATCAAAGATAAAAGTAGAAGGTTGGAAAAATAGGGTAGCAATGAAGTAGAGTCTATATCTGATGTAACTGTCAAGTTTATGGTATAAGATATGAGAGGGATAAAGTTCCCAGAAATAATATCTTAGATTTAAAATTAGTAAACAGGCAGAATCAGGGTAACTTTACACACAAAGAAACTAAAAATTCTCTATCCATATCATAGTGATGCCCAAGGCAGACACTACTTATTCTCACCATCAATCATATCTTTTTTATTTAGTTTAAATTATTATCCTTTTTTACTTTCTAGATTTTTAAAGGAACAGTTACAAATCATCTTATCTCCTAAGGTGTGACTTACACCTATCCTTATCCTCAGGTAGGTGAGCCAGTAACATTTAAGATTCATTGCTACAACAAGAATTCAGACAGAAAAGTCAAAGAAGAATGAGCTTCGGCTGAAAAGAAATGATGGAGATATAGCAATTTTACTTTTTGAAATTTCTGAGTAGTACTTCTACAGAATGTATGGCCATTTTGGATATTGCCATTATTCTTCTAGAATAATAGTTTCTCAAAAGATTGTTTTAAAATTGGGATGGGCTCTGATAAAATTGCCAAAAAGTACATTTCAAAATCAATATACACTCATAATCTGAAATTTAATATTCTCACAATATATTCATCAATTTCCCATTTGCAAATGATGAGCTTCTTGCAGTTTAAAAGTTATAATTAAATCTCAGTTCTCTAATATGTATTGGCTCTATGAAATTCTACTACTGGGTATGACAGCTAAGGAATAATTTTACTTTTTAAAATTAGTTTAAATGTGATGTTTTCTAAGAGCTTTAAGCTTGCTAAAATTCCAGTAAAATTTTATTTAAATAAATTGGATCATGGCATTAAAACGATACTCTGCATTTTAATAGCATAATCACGAATATGGGTTTATTCCCTCCAATAGTAATCCCAATTTCTTTTAGAGACAATACACTTCATAAACTTTGGTATAAACTTTTGATGTGAAATGTTCATTATATATATGTCAGTTACGTTAAGTTCAACTCTTTGTTGAAGTAACAAATTCTATCAAACAAGCACCATTTGAAGTTAGTCAACGAGCTTTATAAGAGAGAGCATAATTTATATTGAGATGTTAAATATCCTTATGCTAAATGTATTTCATTCAACAATCAACAGTTTTCTCATTAGCATGTTAGATAAAATATTTGATATCGGTTAAACAAGTGTCTTATTTATTAGCATAATGGATATTAGAAATGAGTTTAAAGGTTTGATTATAAATGTTCAGGGAATACAAAATAGCTACAGTAGTTTAGAAAACTCTTTCCTCTACCTTTCACAAATAGAGTATATAAATCTACCTAACTAGATTTACTGAACTCCTAGGGAAAGTACCTTAATTGGTCCCGTATCAAGCCTTTTGTTTAAGAGGATTTCATATCCATGTTTTATGAGTTGGGGGGAATCTGCAATCATTCTCTCAGGCTGATGTCCTAATGTGAAATTACTCATTAAAGAGCTTAGAAGAGCTACTGGAAAAGCAATAAATGTTAAAATTATTATTTGATGTTATAATAAATTATTTGCATCAATGATTTAAAATAAAGATGGTATCATTTTATTAACAATCTTGCTAAATACAAATTAGAACCTTATTGCATAAACATTATGAAAACAGATATAACCTAGCTTGAATTTTCTATTCCTTCCATGTATAATTTTGTATTTAGCCCATGTCTTTCATTCTCTTTATATTCTACTCTCACTCTGATGTTTTTCAGTTACTATTTTCACAGAAATAATCAGCCTCCTGCCTACAACAGCATGAACCAAAGTGCTATAGGGCACAATCACTTGACTTACATTAAATTTAAAGCCTGAAAATAATGAAAAACAAACAACATGAAAAAAATTAAAACCCAGCACACTACCTTTTTTTTCAACATATATAAATTTTGAAAACAAAAACCCTTCTAAAGCTAGTAGAAGTCAGAATCGCGGTTACCTTTGAGGCAGCTGGTTATGAATGAAAACAGGCTCCAGGGGTATCTGGCTTTCAGTTTATGTTCTATTTCTTAATCAAGGTACTGGCTACATGGATGTGTTTTCTTTGTGAAAATTTATCAAGCTGTATCTTTAGGATATTTGATGTGTATAGATATTCATTAAAATGTTTAAAATTGAGGAAAAAATATACGGTGGAAAATAACTGATTTCAACCTGTGGGCTCGTGTGACACTATAAATTCAGAAGAATATAAGAGTAATTCATAAAATGTAAAAAATAGAGAGTTGAACTCAAGGTAATAAAATGGAAATCTCTAGCAGTAAGAAACAGACAGATGTGTGTGTGTGTGTGTGTGTGTGTAGTTGTATGTGTATGCACACATGTATGCATGTGCATGAGAGGACATCCATCCCTCAAGTTTTTAATCCAGGAACCTGAGTTTTAGTTTTTACCCGCTTTGTCCTTTCTCTTCTTAGCCAATCTACTGCCGTGCCTCTCTAATGCTCATCTTTAACATCTCTTCATAACTCTATCCGCTTCTCTTTACCCCACATCATTTCTCAGGCATGTGACTCCAATTGTGTAGGAATTGGAACTGGGATTGGTTAGGAACACTAATGTGTTTAACAATCTACTTTCTTGCCTCTCGCTGACCCATTCTTAATATACAAATGAAATGACAACTACAAAATGTAAGTCTAACTATGTTGCTAAAATATATTCAGTCAAGCTTATGGCCCTTAGTATGTAGCCATAGTCTTAATGATGACCCATGGTTGTCCTTTCATTTCATAAAATGATTCTTTTTCCCAATTCTAGTAGTACTGGCCTTCTTTCACTCTTTGGGAGTTACCTTATTTTACACTCTCTTTGACAGTACTACTTCCTCTGTTTGGAAAATGCTCCAACTCCATCTCACTTGAAAAATCAATTTTTACTCTTCATGTAAGCTCTTGGTCACATTCTCAATAGATTATCTTCCTAATTGTCCTTACCTCAGGGTCTGGGCTGAGGCAGAGAGCAAGAGAACAAATTCTGACAGTTTCTGACAAAAGATATTTTAATTTTACACTCAAAAATTGAGTAATTGAGTAAATAATAAATTTAAAAAAAACTAGCTTTGGGTTTTTGTGGGGTATCCATGAGTTTTAGCTTAAAACACTATTAGTCACTTGAATTCAATAAGTCCCAATTTTAATTATAGGGCTGCAATGACATTTTGAAATTCTGGAAAATAATAATGTAGAGCTAGTGTATTCCAGAAAATTCTGGGTTTTACTTTTCTTGGTATACATTTAAATGGCATATCAAGAGATCCTTTTGGATAAGGCTAAAAGAAATATACCCAGCAATATTATTTAAGGTATTATTGAACATTTCTTCTGCAAATATATCTGAATTTATTTGGGAATCCATCAAACTTCACTAGGTTATGCTTCATTAACATACAAACCCCAAATCGAAGTGATATACATAGAAATATTTTATTTCATTTTCTCTTATTACATGTTGGCTGTGGTACTGCTTTACCTGTTTTCTTCATGGGAAGCAAATTCAGAAAAAAACCCATTTTAGGAACATGCTACTTTTTTGTAGCCAGGAAAAAGAACCATTATCATAAATGCCTTTTAAAACTTTTACCTGCAAATGACAATGATCACTTCTGTTTGTATTTTATTGGCTATGTCTATTAGTCTTCCCAATGGAAGAGGCAGATGTGAAAGGTGATACTGGCAGGGGATCACATAAAAAGAAACAGCGAGTCTATTGACAGATGACTACAATCTAACATATTTCATTCTGCAAGGTTTGGGTCTCTAATTGGAAAAAATACAGGAGATGGTTGGAGGAGGAAATCACAATTCTCCACACATTGGCTCAATCTTAATTTTGACTTGCCAGTTATGAATTGATTGATTGATTGTTAGATTTTTAACAGAAGATATCAGTTTCATGAATTGCCAATCTATTTAATTCAAAGGGAAGACATGATCACATAATCATCAAAAATGCTTAAATCATCATCACAAGTCCATTTTAATTAGTGCAACTCTCACTAGCCTCTTCAGCACCCAGAAATGTGCCAAAAGTGTTTCCACAAAGGTAGAAACTTTGCCCCACTGAAAGAATGCATCAGATCTTTGGTAATGGGAATCTTTTCTGAATCAATTGAGGATAACAAACATAATCTTTTCTTCTGAAATTTTTATTTTCCCCAATATTTACAGTTCCTCAATACAGGATACTGTACCTGTTATACAGGGGTGCTGAAATTTTGATCTACATTAGTCCTTGTGTAGCTAGTAAGAGCTGGGGCCCTGGGCTGGTCTTTCAGAGCTATGAGTAGTTTTTCTACTTTGTCTAAAATGTCATAAAGACATTATGTTTTATTGTTTGATATTTTTGAAAGTTCTTAATAAATACAGATCGTGACTATACCAAGGCATTTCTACACCTTTCTTTATCATCTGTACATTAAAACCAAGTTTGGATTAACCAATAGACCTTATAATAGAACTTGTAATTTACCAACCTACCACATCAAAATTGGTATGTAATTTCCAGGTAACCTCTCACAGTCCTGAGAGGTTAGAAGTGTAGAAAGTTTGCTTCTCTATTGTCATGGAATAACCTTGTTTAGTTCCTAATTTTAGCTAACGATTTTGTAATTTATTAATGTGTGTGTGTGTGTGCATGTGTGGGTTTGGGTTTTCTTCTGCCTGGAAAACACTGCCCAAACCAGCCGCTTAGATCCTCCTTCACTATACTCTGCAAAGGCTTAACTCAATGGACCCTTGCTTCCCAATGATCACAGTTAATAATTAAAATATTTTCTTCACCTCTGGGTGCCATGGTTAGCTAATTTATTATCCTGGTATATTAACAAGGTATTTATAGTTTTCTGCCTTATCTGAATTATTTCTAAATCCCCACATTCCCATAGAGTTCTCTTGTCTACAATCCAGTATTTAATAGCAACTTCATCTACCAAGTGGGATAATGAATTACAAATGATAAGATGTGATCTCAAATGTTTTAGAAAAGTAAACATGGGAGAAATAATTAAAAGTTGAAAGGCCTATTTGGAAAACAAAGGGAGAGTCATGGAGGTTTCTATCAAATTCCAGGGACAGGCAGTAGCAGCCACAATCAAAGCCAGTCAGCCAAATTTCATTTATGTGAAATAGAAATTCATGTATTCATTGATCATGTGGTAAATTTAATTTACATCTCCCAATTCCCTACAGAATGGCTTCAAAGATCCCCAAAATTCGAAAACCTAAAGAAAAAGAGGTGGATTAGTAGTACTGATGAACCTCATCTACTCCCTGGCTGCCATGGGGAGGAGAAAGAAATGATCTAACCAGATGAGCCTACTTAGAGAGCCAGTTTAGATATGCCTAATGACAAGAAACACAAAACGAGTATATAAACAGAGGAAGAAGAGTTGTATTCCCAAAAGCAGAAATAACAAAGGCATGTTGAAAATATTTTTAAATTATAATTTATTTAGTGTTTTGGTATAGAAAGCTCATGATATTAATTGGAAATTATAAATATTTTAGGATAAATGTAGAAAAACAATCAAAGATGAAAAGTTAATCCAAATCAAGACCAAGTTTATTGTTTTTTTAAGCCAGGAGAGCCCATGTCATGCTAGAATAAAGAGAGTCTTGTCTGAGCTGGGGGGTCATTTTAAGGCATAAAGGAGGAAGTTAATTCTAAATAAGGTTGGATTTAGAAAAACATAATTTGATCTGTTAGATAATTTGACTGAAAACTCTTTTTTGTGATTGGCCATTGTTATAGAATGTTGTCAATGATTTGAATGTAAAATCAGATCCAACTCTCACAAAAAATAATTCCTTTAGGTTCAAGAAGCCTTATAGAAATGTACAAGTTTAGAGCAGAGACATCCTTTTCCTTATGTGCCAAATCAAGAGAAAGGCTAACACATATATCTAGCTTTATTTTCTAAAATAGCCCAAGCCATTTTAATAGTATTTTGAAATCTCATATCTCTTTGTTTTTGTGGAAGAGTTCATGTATATGGAAAGTGAAGAATAGCTATAAATATTTCAAATTACAGAAGTTAAAGTATTAGGAAAAAAAGAATTTAAGTAGAGTGTATGTACTTTGAAATGCACTTTATGTTCTTAAATGTGTTTCCATTAGCAAACTTAAAATATGAAGATTATTGAAAATCATTGTTCTTTATTCAAGAACATTGAGACAAATAGCACTTGTGCTTTCTTTAACAAAAGGGCTTGTTTTATAAGGAAGCATATTTCTTTGATTATTCTAAATTTTCATAGACAACTTCTTATTAAGTAAATTCATTACATTTAATTTCAGATAGCAAATGATTTTATTGTCTTCTCTGGAGTTATAAAATGAATTTATGTTATGATTACTTTAGATAATTTCTTTGTATTTGCTCTATTTCTTTTTATTTCACATCTCTCCTTTTATTAGTTTAATATTACTTAATGATATTTGTCCAGTAGATAACATTAGAGTATATAAATGAGTAAGCATAAAAATGGCATTTCCTGCCACTGATATTCATCATAGAATGTTGATGAATGGATGCTTGTTTAGATACATGTGTGTGCATATGAGTTTGTGTGTACATTCACATCTATGCACTGTACTAGACCAGAAAACCTAACAATGTCAGGGATAAAATTGTGGTCTGACTGGGTACAGCTCCTGCTTAAACATGGATGTGTGATTTTCCAGGCCCATCCATAGGTAATTACAAAGATTTCACCTGGCAGACTTCGTGGGAAGATTGCTTCCCTTCCCACTCCTGACTTGATGCTCAGCTAGCGCATTGCAGTCCCGAAGAGAGTTGCAGTTTAGGACTAAGATCTCAAGTCATGCTTTTCCACAAATTTACATTCCTAGCCCAGGGGTCATATTCCTAGGTCTCTTTGTCTAAGGCCTTGGACAGAGATCATCTTTAGACATCTCTGGTGAGGCCTTCTTACTAGAGGAAAGGAGAAAAATTAAAGATACTTTTCCCCACTCTGACTCAGTATCTAGTAATTTTTCACTCCTAGACCTATTCAGTGGGCCTTCACCCAGCCTACAGGTCCAAAAAAGTGGCAGAGACTTTTGCTTGGAGCTCCTTCAACAGTGAGAAAATCGACACGTCTTTGCTGATCCACCTGACCCTCTACCAGCACATTGTTTTATAGGGGAGCATGAAACAGAGGGAACTGGTGTCTTTGGTTTTAGCTGTCTGCTTATACTATGGTGATAAATGATTATAGGCTTTGCTGCTACTTTCATTCTGGCTCAACTTTGCTTCAGTTGGCTACTCCATCACTTGGCAGCTCAGTTTTCACTCAGCTCAACAGAGCTCCTGACACTGACAAAATTGGGGTTGTTGATGCACTACAACAAGGGAATGTACCAAAACACCAGAGAAACCATGAGTTTCTCACTAAGCAAGGGCAAAAAAAAAAAAAAAATGCAGAGTTCTATGTACTTGGAAACTACGAAGTCAAAATATAACATGTTGGAAGCTTTCACTCAGCTCAGCTGAGCTTCTGACACTGACAAAATAGGGGTTTTTGATACACTACAACAAAAGAATGTATCAAAATACCAGAGAAACCATGAGTTTCTCACTAAGCATGGGCAAAAACAAACAAACAATAACAACAAAAAAAAGCAGAATTCTATGTACTTGGAAACTACAAATCAAAACAAAAACATGTTGGAAGGTTATGTCCAGGAACCCCTGAACTGAAGCTCTGCAACTGGGATTAAACAAGGCTGATTGTCTTGGTGAGTAAGATCCTCCAGGCAAGAGTAGGGTGCTTCAATCTCACTGACAAAATTTCAAACATCAATGTTTCTCATCACCTATTAATGTATAGAACAAAGTGTCTCAGTGACCAAGAAATAAATAGTCACTCAAAGCCAGGACTGGTTATGAAACTTTGTAGCTATCCTGTGTCCTTGAGAGAACTATTGTATGTTTGTTTTGTGTATAATTTGATAAAATCAGCAACATCTTCCCATGCCAGTAAATGTATGTCCACTATTGTACATGTGGGCAGAATATTTTGGTTTCTGGATGTTATAATTTTTAAGGTAGTTTTCATATTTTGTTCTTTGGTTAGAAATTATTCTGTAAAATTCTTTTACTCTTCCCATTGTTGTTTTAGATGATATTTCTGGAATTAGAATTAATGAAGAATGCATCAGAACTATTATTAGTTTAATATACATGATTAGGCATGTACAAATTTACATTTCATTCAGCATTTTATGAGTACTGTTTATTATTTTTACCTTCAGATAATTTATTATTGGTTTATTTGGAAATCAAATACTTTAGTCTGTTTATTAATTTCATTTCTTTTTGGTGAAGTCTCTTTTGTTTCATAAATTGAGAATATCTTACTATTGAGATAAAAGCTTCTTATCTGAAGAATCATATTTTTGGAATTTTGTGTTATCAGAAAACTAGGTTTTTGAATATGACTTATATTGGAGTCCTAAAAAGAGTTCTTGTATCCATCTCAAGAATACAAACATGTAACTATACTGTCATCTTACAACTGTGCCTTCATTGTGTTTTCCTGTTTATATGTTGTTATATGTGTAGTAGGTAGAATAAAGTCCCTTACCCCAAAAGATATCCACATCCTATTTCCCATAACCTGTATATTTGTTACCTTACAAAGGAACTTTTGTAGAGGTGACTAAGTTAAGGATTGAATTGGGGAAATTATTCTGAATTATCTGGTTGGGCCAGATATAATCACAATGGTGCCTCAGAAGATGAAGGCAGGATTTGCAGGGTCAGAGAAGACACGACGACAGAAGCAGATGTCAGGGTAACGTAGATCCAGGAGCCAAGCAATGTTGACTGCCTGGAGATCCTGGAAAAGATAAGGAAACAGGTTCTCACCTAAAGCTTCCAGAAGAAACAAGCCCTTCCCACCCATTTTAGATGTATGAAAGCCAGCAATGCAATATAATATATTTGTGGTGTTTGAAGTGATTCAGTAAGTTTGTGGCATTTTTTGCGACCAAAGTAGGAAACTGATATGATAATACATTTTCAATACATCTAGAAATTATTTAGTTTCTGATATGACTTCTGTTTTCTTTTTTATAGCTAATTTGCCAACAGAAAATATCAATAATTTTAATAATTCTCAGGGATTTGAGATCCCATCATTAATAGGATATTGAATGAAGAAAATATGTGAATCTATGCACATTTTGACATGCAGTTGTATTTCCCATCATGTTTTGTCAATAAATCCCATAGTGTCACCTACATTTTACATCATCTCTTCTTCTGCATAGAAAAAAGATATTCTTCCTATAGGATAATATTTGTTTTTCTAACTATACTCAGGATCCTTTCACCTCTGGTCTACTTAGGACCTTGTCATATCACTCACTGTTTTCACCTCCCAGTGTCTTCTCATCAGATACAAACACTTGTAACTCTAGTCCTTGTTCCCCACTGGCTACTGACATGAAATATATTTTAAATTATATTTTTGAAATTTTTATTAAACTGTGTAATGATTGAGGATGATTATAGGAGAATTGATAATGTTGTAATATTAAATTTTCCTATTAACTTGATTCTCTTGGATTCCAGAGAAACAATCATATTGTACTTGAAAGTGACATTTTTAACTCCTTTCTGATATTTCTATTTTGCATTCACTTTTATAATAATGCATGGGATTGGATAAATAATATGTCAATAGAGTCAATCTTCACTTTAGTCTTCGAAGGAGATTGATAGGAATATTTTTTGTTGATATTGTAAATGGGAATTTTCCTATCAACAATATGCCTTGTCTGTTGGTTTCATTTGGAGATTCTTAATTTGATAAGCATTATGTTCTTGTATTGTGATTTACACTTAGGAAGGGAAATTTTATTCAACGTGATAATAGTTTTTTTACATCTAGATTTTGTGCAATTATGGTTGCTATATTTTTTGAATTTAAACTATAAATATGAAGACTTTTAAAACAGATTAAATATTTATTTTTACAACCACCAAGATAAAACATATACAGTTCTTATGTATGTGTATTTTAAGGTATTAATAAATTATATTTGTTTTCTTTAAGATTTTTAATGCATATTTACAAGTGAGATTGCTTAGTTTTGATGAATTGTGCTAAGTTTTTCGTCTTTTCTAAATACTGTATAATATTACTTATTTTTAAATTTCACTCAAGAGATATATAGAGGCAGATGGGGTTTGCCATTAAAATGTATCAGTATTTGGTAATTAATTAATTTATTTAAATGCAATGTAATCTTTTAAATATGGTTGAAATTTAAACTATTGTTATTAATTTTGTATCTTGTGACATGACCTTCTAAATAGAGTGCTATAAACTTTTAACCAATTGAGATTGTCTTGGGGATGTTCCACGGGTACCTTGTATTTTAGCAGTGTATAACATGTAATGCGTTAAATCAACTTTACTAACTTTATTAAATATATAAATTATGTCTATTTATTGTTTTGTGCACATTTCCACTGTCAAATGTTTGGAAAAAATTATCTTTTGCTGTTGTATTTCCATTCATTTTCTTTTCATTCTACCTATTTTGGAGAGGCAGTTTACTATGGTGATTCAGAATGTATACTGATATATTCGCATATTCTTACATTGCTTGAAATCTGCAGAGCATTTGAAATTGCTTACCAATTTTAAACCTTATTCTTTTGGCTTCCATGATACCATACTCTTCTGGTCTCCACTCTGTGCTCTGGTCAATGGTCCTTGATTTTCTGTTTCACTTCTTATGAATGACTCCTAAATGTTGAAATTTTACAGGGATTTGTTACCAGTCCTCATCTCTTCTCTAGTACTTCTCCCTGAATGATCCCTTACTCTCCCATGACATCAATTACAATAGATGTGCTAAGGGCTTCACATCTCTACTGCAGTTTGGATTTATTTCCCAAGCTCCAATCCATGTACTTATTTGATATAACCACTTTATTTTGGATATTTTGCTGAAAATATCAATTCTTGATTAATTACAATTGAAATAGTAATATCTAGTTTTTCAGGTTGATATAGCAATAGATTAAAATAATGTATTCCATGCACCCAGTAAATATCTGGATTGTAGTAGGTGATACAATGATCTATTGTTAATAGAAATTCAGTAAGCATGTTTGAATAATAAGGGGAAGATCACATAAGAAAGATTAATCAAAGAGAAGGGAAAGAATTGAGAATACACTGGACATAGTTGAAGAAGACAAGTAATCTGTTGTGCGTGGAATGAACTCAAATCCAAACCCTTCCTCTAACTTTCTCCCTGGTATTTGACTGTGTTACTAATGAAGTGTAATGTCAGTTTCACGTTTAAAACTGTAATTTTATGAACAGTGAAATCTCAACAGTAGTAACAGCAGTAACTTGAAGACACATGGATTTAAGGAGCCAACATAACTGACTCTGCATAAGATAACTTCAGTATTTACATAACAGTCTTACGTGCTTTTGGATTTGTGGGTTCTCCCCCTACTGTTGTTGCAGGACTTTCCTTAGTTCAGCTGAAGACGGGTTCTTGTCCGTCCCACGGCCATGAAAATGTGGGCTCGCAGACAGTTTGACGGGTGAGCAAAACAGGGTTTTATTGGGTGAAAATGGAAAAAAAGAGGGAAACAGGAACTCTCACTAGACCAGAGTCCCTGCTAGAGCACTTCCTGCCCAGCAATTCAAATCCCAGATTTCACACAGGAAAAGAGGGGCCACACTCCCTACAGACATGGTGAATATCCTGAGGTTCCACCTCAGTGGGCAGGCTGGTTGGAGTCTTTCCAGGGGACCCTTTCCACCTGGCTGTCTCACTGTCACGTAGGCATTCTTAAACTGAAAGCTCAAATCTGGAAGTGGAAAACATAAGACACAAGACTGACTTTGGATTGGGGTGTTCTTACCACTTCACCTTGCAGAAACCTAGCAGCTTGCAAAATAGTTGAGTCTTAATTTGTGCGCAACCAGAAGGTAGATAGGATAGGAATGTTCTTCCCTATGTTCCTCACAACGTAGCTAGAATTTGTGGTGGCTTTATTTCTATGAAAGCTATTCCATACTTTCAAGTTGTACCCTTTCTGATTATGTTTACTTCAGTCAAGTCTAAATTATATGGAGTTTATTTGTGCACCTATTTACCACTTATTCGAAAAGCATTTACAACAAAACAATGCCTAGGGAGGGTTCCCATTAGACCCATTTTTAATTACCTAGTTGTATTACTTTTGTGGAACAGATACTGAAATTGGGAAAGTGATTGGTGAGTACTTAAAGCCTTTGAATAGGAGATGAGTTATCTCAAAATCACTCAGAATAGTTCAAAATACATGGCTCCAAATTGGTAGTATGAATCAAAGATCAATTATAATTATCATAATAAAATAACATTATTTTTAATTTCCTTAAACAACAGAGAAAATGAAGTATAGAAATGGCTGTGATAACAGAAATCAAATCATGTGATAGTTACAAGAATTAGTACAGGAGTGAAATTGAAGGGTCTTGGTGACTCTTTGAGCAGATAGTGATGTAAGAATCAGGATAAAAACCAAGAGTTCTGTTTGTTTCTATAGAAACATGTTATTGGTTTTAATAATAAGGCAGATTAGTAGAATATTATTAGAAGAATAATAAAGTTCATTTCATAGTAGACCTTATAAAAATGTCAAATAATAAGAAAAAACATTTTTGTTTTAGAGATGTTTGAGAGCTTCAAAGTGAAAGTAAAATATGGTTAGTTTCATATTTTTCCAAACATTGAAGACTTTTAGGAAGGAAGAAAACTGGCAATTGGTTCCCAACAATGTGTCAAGAAAGTAATTAATTCATGGGACCTTTGGATCATACAGTATTACCACCTACAATAAGAGCAACAGGAGGTCTTCTGTTGAGAAGATGTATGTGGTTTCATTCTGCTTCCTGTTTTTATCTTAAGATATAAATTTTTATTTGAACCTGACAATTTGTTGTCCTTGCACTTCTATATGAATTCTCCACAGGAAAATAAAAAAAAAAGTAGTATAACATCAAAGGACAACTAATTTTTTTTGTTTTCATCTCTTTCTTTTCATAAAAGCAAGTATTGGATTGTTAAGCTTTCAACAAAGGTTATTTTTTATTCTATTCTAAGTGTGAATTATATTCTAAGTTACTTTCATTCTATTCTAAGTATGAATTCTAAATTAGTATACATATTGAAAGTTTCAATTAATTTTCATATGGACTAAGTAACAAAAAGCATGCCTAAATTTATAGAATTTACAGTTAAATATTCATGGGAATAACAAAGTTTATCTGATTTATGAAAGCAGGAAGAAATGAAGTTGAGAAAGGAAAGTAAAGGAAGAAATAGAGGTACCATCAAAAGTAAAAAAGCGAGAGCCAAAAATTAGCTCCAGCACCATTACTTTTCATGAATAGTGTGTTACCTATACTTGATTATAATCAGTGAATTTGTCAGTTAACCAAATATGGTGATGGGGTGGAGGT
This sequence comes from Homo sapiens, assembly GCF_000001405.40. NCBI lineage: Eukaryota > Metazoa > Chordata > Mammalia > Primates > Hominidae > Homo > Homo sapiens. The sequence continues at coordinate 26,082,916 of NC_000005.10, forward strand.
GCAGATAAAATGGTTAATGCCACCTCAAAAGGTTTTTACATTTATAGGTTAACTTGAGTTACGGACAAAATAGGTTAATTGAATATCTTAAAATCATTAATTAGCAATCAAGATGGGGACAAATAAAGTTCAGATAAAAATCTGACAAGATGTTTTACTGAAATTGTGTAAGTGGTCTTTCCAAACCGTCTGCATAGGCTAAGAGGTGATATTGAGATAGAGTTTTACCAAGGGGCCTAGGAACACTGGAATTCTGTTTCCACCCACTACATGCAAAAAGTTCCCACAGACCAAGTAAGAAAAGTGCACAATGGTTGAGACTCTAGTCATCTTTATGAATACGATTCTTTGCATTCAAGCAGCAATATTAATTTAAGCTTGGTTACATCATAAATGACTTTTTTTAAAATTTCTGAAATACATGCTGGACTAGGCTCCAAAAGGAAATGATCAGACCTCCTTTATATCCTTTAAAAAGACGAATGTGTTAATATGCTATTTGACCACTGATGAGTAAAAAGAAAAAAATGAGCAAATAAATAATTTTTTGTCCAATTCCTGTATGTTGATGCTGTCTGAGACTCCTACTCAGGTATTCTTCAAGTGACTCCTCCAGTTCCTACGACAGTCAGCCTTTCTGAGTTGGAACAACACTGAACAAAAAAAGGGGAAACCAATCTCACTGGATCTTTTCCCTTTGGCTACACCCTCAATTCCCATGCCCCTCAAGCCTTGTGGAAACAAATAGAATCATAAGAAACCCATACAAACCATATTTAATCTTCTTAATAAAGCCTGATCCTAAGGAACAAAAAATGACCCCATCTCTGTCACCAATCCTTATCAGGACTTTTCCTTCCTGGAGAAAGTTTAGAAAAATAGGAGACTGGAAATCATGAGATTTCACAAGGATATAATACCTAAAAAGATATAATACCCAAAATGATGACTACAAAAATACTGTATTTCTCTAGTGTATTTATTCTCTCATTTTTTCAAACTCCTTAAACTCCTTACTTAAGAAGAATTGACCCTTCTCCAGGCCAAGGCAAATTCTTCCCCTTGGTAAATAAAGCCTACCTACTGCCCATTTTACAACTGCATTGTCAATTTATTTCTATGTATTGAATTTGTCCTGCTTAAAAACCTTTTAAAAATCCCGTAGTTTTACAAAAGTCTCCTTTGATGCTACTTTCTTTTTTAGCTATTGACCATTTTCTTCTTCAAATCTCTTTAAGAATATTATACCCCGGCCAGGCTTGGTGGCTCATGCCTGTAATACCAGCACTTTGGGAGGCAGAGGCAGGAGGATCACCTGAGGTTGGGAGTTCGAGACCAGCCTGACCAACATGGAAAAACCCTGTCTCTACTAAAAATACAAACAAATAGCCAGGCATGGTGGTGTATGCCTGTAATCCCAGCTACTCGAGAGGCTGAGGCAGAAGAATTGCTTGGACCCAGGAGGTGGAGGTTGCGGTGAGCCAAGATGGTGCCATTGCACTCCAGCCTGGGCAACAAGAGCAAAACTTCATCTAAAAAAAAAAAAAAAAGAAGAAGACGAATATTAGACTCCAATGTTCACATCCCATATTCTTTAAACCCACTCAAAACATATTTGCAATACTTCAATATTTCCTCAGCAATAATAAGAATGCCCTACTTGTTGCAAAATGTATTAGCAATTTCTTAGTCCTCCTTGTATTTGCCCAGTTGTTAGGTAGGTAGATAGATAGATAGATGATAGAGACAGAGAGACAGAGAGAGACAGAGAGGTCAAAGAGTGCAGATTTCTCACCCAACAAAATGGGTGCATATTGCAGTCGTCCTTTGAAGTCCTTCTCTCATAGGTTGAGGTAAGAGGGAAGCATGCAGGGCCAGAAATGCATTCATTCATACATTCATTTAAATAGATTCCTTAAAATGATTGCTCTCTCACTATATATACAGAAAGGTATATCTATATCTATGGAGGGATAGGTAGATAGATAAATATTTAAATATTAAGAAAACAACTAAGGAAATACAAGGAGACTGAGAAACCCAAAAGTATTAGTGATTTCTATACACATGTACCTACATATTTTTTTCCACTGGATTTCAGAACAATACTCTCAAGACTTTCCTCTTATCCTACTGACCACTTATTCTTTGTCTCCTTTAAAGTTTCCTCTTTGATTATTTGCTTCTTGATGTTGAAATATCCCAGATTCAGTCTTTGGAAATCATAACTTTTCAATCTGCAAGTAACCCTTTATTAATCTCATCCTATTTATAGCTTTAATATCATTTGTAAAGAGAATAATTCCAAATACGTGTTTCCTGCCAGAACTCTCCCATAAACTTCCAAATTCCATATATATAAAATATAATCATATATACATAGAATTTCTGACTGTATGTCTCCTGTCAGTTTCTTTGTATCTCAAACTTATGTCCAAAAGATCCTGTATTATATAGAAAATCTGCTCTTCCTGCAGTCTTTCTGATAACAGTAAACAATTCACCCTCACCTTCCTAGCTGCACAGATTATAAAAACATGGAGGGCCGGGCGCGGTGGCTCACGCCTGTAATCCCAGCACTTTGGGAGGCCGAGGCGGGTGGATCATGAGGTCAGGAGATCGAGACCATCCTGGTTAACAAGGCGAAACCCCGTCTCTACTAAAAATACAAAAAATTAGCCGGGCGCGGTGGCGGGCGCCTGTAGTCCCAGCTACTCGGGAGGCTGAGGCAGGAGAATGGCGTGAACCCGGGAAGCGGAGCTTGCAGTGAGCCGAGATTGCGCCACTGCACTCCAGCCTGGGCGACAGAGCGAGACTCCATCTCAAAAAAAAAAAAAAAAAAAAAAACATGGAATCATTTATGACTATTCAATATATATATAACTTTCTCCTTTAGCTATTGCCCAATTTTCTTCATCAAATTTCTTTAAAAATATTATACTCCAATTTTCACATCCTCTTTGAACCCATTCAAAATATATTTGCAATATATACAATTATATATATCACATTCAATATTATATATATATATATTTATCTCACATTCAGTATGTTAACAAAATCTCCTGTCTCTACTTTCAAAATGCATGAAAATCCCAACCAGTTCTCACACATCTGTTGAAAACCTAGTTCAAGCCATCATTATCTTTTTACTGGATTATTATAATGGACCAGTTCCCTTGCTTTCACATGTGTTTCTATTTATCTGCCTTTAACACAACAGCTAGACTGATATTGTTAAAGGAGAGGTCAGATGATGCTATTCTCTACTCAAAATCCTCCATTCTATTCTTATCTCACTCCTAGTAAAAGCCTTAACATGGCCTATGATATATGGTACACTGTTTAGTCATTGTTCCTTATGCGCTGCAGATATGTGTTCATGTCTATAGCTATTTTTTTGTTCTCTCAGCAGCCTGGATTACTCCTCCCCAAATACCTGCATGGCTCAGTTCTGCACCATTTTAGGCTCTATTCCAATGCCAACTTCTCAATAAGTATGTCTTTTCTGGGCATGGTGGCTCATGCCTATAATCCCAGCACTTTGAGAGGCCAAGGCGGGTGGATCACGATGTCAAGAGATGGAGACCATCCCGGGCAACATGGTGAAACCCCATCTCTACTAAAAATACAAATATCAGCCAGGCGTGGTAGTGCACGCCTGTAGTCCCAGCTACTAGGGAGGCTGAGGCAGGAGAATTGCTTCAACCCAGGAGGCGGAGGTTGCGTGAGCCGAGATCGTGCAACTGCACTCAAGCCTAGGCGACATAGAGAGACTACGTCAATAAATAAATAAATAAATTAATTAATTAATTAATTAAATAATTTTTTATACTCTGCTTTGTGTTTCTTTATTGTGACTATTACCATCTAAAAACAGATTTTACTAATATTTTTGGAATATATAAACTGATTAGTGAAGTATCCTTGAGCTTTATGTCACAAGTGAACTTTGTGTTTTGTGTGAAGCATATATACATTTCACTTGCTTAGAAACAAAGTTGACTTTCTAAAACATTTTTTTCTAATGGTTTAAGTTGTACAGATTAAAGTAAAATAAAAGCTGTACTATCATAGTTGCCAAAAATATCTCCATATCCGATTAAAACCTAAGTTTGTGAAGAAAACTATTTTTTTCTTTTAATGTTTTGTTTACTGTTATATAGAATGTTTTCTGTCATCTACTAGACCATCAATATATTTTAGTGAGTGCCTGAGTGAATGTGTTTCTGGCACTGAAGCCTTCTTCCTAACCTCAAGCTACAAGAGAAGGGCTTCAAGGGGACACTGGAATATGCACCCCTTTTGTTGGGTAAAAAATCTAGACTATTTGACACCTTCTGAGGGACCTAAAAGTAAGAAGTTGTGCTTGTCAGATAAATTAGTGTGAAAGGTTTAAGCCCATTAGGCTCTAGCTACATTTCCATTGATGGCATGGGTTAATGAGAGTATGAGCATATTCTTTAAACCATAAGTGGGCTATAAAGAGATAAATCTTATTGAATATTTTAAATGTTGTCACCCCCACCAGTGGGGTTCAGGGAAAGAAGTTGCCAGCTAGAAAGCCAAGACCAAAGTGAACAAGATAAGCTGTTGAAAAAAAATTCATCAATATATGTTATGAAAAGAATGATCTAGTGTTTCCAGAGAAGACCTTGAAAAAACTCAGGAATGTGTTCTAAGGCAATGAGATCCAGTATATGTTATGAATGAATGATCTATTGTTTCCAGAGAAGGCCTTGAAAAAAACTCAGGAATATGTTCTAAGACAATGAGATCCAGCCCTTAATTTTTGCAATCTATCCATCTGACAAAGGGCTAATATACAGAATCTACAAGGAACTTAAACAAATTTACAAGAAAAACAAAACATCAAAAAGTGCGTGAAGGATATGAACAGATACTTCTCAAAAGAAGACATTTATGCGGCCAAAAAACATATGAAAAAAGCTCATAATCTCTGGTTATTAGATAAATGCAAGTCATAACCACAATGAGATATCGTCTCACTCCAGTTAGAATGGCGATCATTAAAAAGTCAGGAAACAACAGATGCTAGAGAGGATGTGGAGAAATAGGAACGAATGCTTTTATAATGTTGGAGTGTAAATTAGTTCAACCATTGTGGAAGACAGTGTGGCGATTCCTCAAGCATCTAGAATCAGAAATACCATTTGACCCAGCAATCCCATTACTGGGTATATACCCAAAGGATTATAAATCATTCTACTATAAAGAAACATGCACATGTATGTTTATCGCGACACTATTCACAATAGCAAAGACTTGGAACCAACCCAAATGCCCATCAATGATAGACTGGATAAAGAAAATGTGGCACATATACACCATGGAATATTATACAGCCATAAAAAGGATGAGTTTATGTCCTTTGCAGGAGCATGGATGAAGCTAGAAACCAAACACCACATGTCCTCACTCATAAGTGGAAGCTGAACAATGAGAACACATGGACACAGGGAGGGGAACATCACACACTGGTGCCTGTTGGGGGGTGGGGGGCTGGGAAGGGATAGCATTAGGAAAAAAATACCTAATGTAGATGACGGGTTGATGGGTGTGGCAAACCAGCATGGCACATGTATACTTGTGTAACAAACTTGCATGTTCTGCACATGTATCCCAGAACTTAAAGTACAATATATATTAAAAAAAAGAGAAAAAGATAGTAGCTAGTGAGTGAGCTAGGTAGGAGAGGAGTAAGACAAGGAGGAAGCCAATACCATTCTAGTCTCTGCTCAGATACCTTCTGCTAACAATCTCCTTCTCTCTGAAAGGCAGCCCCATGCCACAGAATTGCTAACTTTTCTTAAGCAGATTTAATGTTCATCTTTATAGACATTATTTTTTGGTCAGTCAAAGTACAAGTTTGTTGAATGTAGGTCCTTTGCCTGTTATATTGTACTCACTGCTGACTCTCACTACCTAGAAAAGTGCCTGGCATATAATTTGTTGAATGAAGTAACAAATGATGATTGTCTTCAAACACTGAATAGTCATCCGAAAGAATGTGGGTTGAACATGCCTGTGTGCACTCAAAAAAGGTAAGGAGTAGGAGTGTTCATGTGTAAAAATTTGTGTTATTAAGCTAGACATTATCCACTGTCAATGATATCCAAAGATTATTTTATTGGAATTATCTCTTATATCATGTATATAGTAAAGACAGAGAAAAATATGTTAACAAGCGGTATCTTTGATTTTTAAGAAATAAATATTTATATTGTAGAAATGCATTTTTTTAACTGATAGTAGTGCTCTACAAATATGGCAAACGAAACTATTATTAGACCAGAAGAGAATACTACAAGTTAGTATGCCGAGGCAGAGGGTAGTCTTAGGCTACGAAAATACACTGTGGTGACAATAAAAGAGATTGAACAAAATTTGCCAAGTGGAGCCCAGGCTCTTCCACTTCTACCTATGATTATGTCTAGCTGTAAAATTAGATTAAAATGTCTTTCAGTGAATATTTGAGAAGGTCAGCACAATGGGCTCTCCATAACCCTGTGAAAATGTTCTTCTTAAGCCTTAGTCTCCACTACCTCAAGATAGAGATCCTAAATCTGCTTCCTTATTCTAAAAGATGATGCTCCTCATCCAATAAAATCATGTGTACAAAAATCAATAAAATATTGGAAGGTAATATTTTAACACTTAAAAATACATTGTTCCCTGTGTAATTTCAAATACAGATTATCATTCAAGCAAATTGATCCTTTATATTAATTGCTAAACACAAAAAGAAAATTCATTGGCAATATGTAACAGTGACTAATAATATTTTATATAGTCAAATTTCAGAATGATCTCTTTTTAGTAATAGCAATTTCAAGAGTCAGACACAGTGTTAGACCTTATGTTAGGATCCTTCAGAGAAACAGAGCCAACAGAATGTGTATCTGTCTGTACACACACACAAACACACACACACAGGTTTTTTTTCTTGTACACACATATTTTCTTAAAGGGATTTATTTTATGAGAAATTGTATTATGGAGGTTAAGTCTAGACCCAAGAATATTGATGGTATACTTTTATTCTGAGTCCAAAGGCCTGAAAACCAGGGAGCTGATTATGTCCTCATCCAAGTTGAAGTCCAACTCTGAAGACAGAATAAGATCATTGGCCCAGCTCTAAGACAGACAGACAGAATGAGTGAATTTTCTCTTAGCCTTTTGTTCTGTTGGACCTTCAATGGATTGGATGAGCCTTAATCACATTAGGGAGCAAGGGCAATCTGCTTTACCCAGTATACAGATGCAAATGTTAATCTTTCCTTCAAACAACATATTAGACACTCTCGGGGTAATGTCTAACCAAATACCTGGGCACCCTGCAACACAATCAAATTGACACATAAAATTAACTATCACAGATATTAAAATTGAATCAGAGTTATAATCAATTTATAATTAAATAGCTAATTCATAATTAAACAGCTTTTATTATTTTCAGAATTCTTTAAAGGCAATTGTGATATTCTTAAAAACACTGAAAAGGCATTTTCCAAAACTTGATCCTTGCTTTAGTTTTTACATTGTGTAAGCTTATGTGCAATTTGAATGACATTTTGTACAGCTTTAACAACAGCAAAAAAAAAAAATTCACATATATTTTCTTCTGTTGTTCTCATTACTAAGAGAAAAATTATATGGTAATTGCACTTTCATAATACAAAAAGCCTTAAAAAGTAGTAGTTCTGACACTCAACAGCAGCTGAAAATTACTATCATATTATTTGCAACATGCTACTAAAATTGTAGCATTGCACATCGAAACTATGAGGAAATATCCATATTTAAACAAGTATTTAATCATTTACTAATAGTTTGTTTTGAAAATACATATAAATTGAGAGGTAGAAAAATGCTTTTATGCAAAGTTAAAATTAAAATTAAAGAATAGCATAAAATTTGTTTTCGAACTAGAACTTTTCTAGAATGATCAGCAATTATTCTGAAATTATTTCCATTAGGTAATCAAGTTATTACAAATGTCAGAGAAATAAATATTTCAATGAGTAGAAAGTATGTTTTCTTCCCCTTATAATACTTATTGATCTGAGGTTATATTTAGCCAGTTTCAATATTACAGAAACATTCCACCTTCGTTTATGATCAAAAAGTTCTACTAATGAAAGGAACAATGGAAAAGAATTCTTGGATGTCATTTAGTAACCACTGTCACTATCCACATTCAAACCATTAGCCATCTAGAAGTCCTCCAGAATTGATCTCCAAAATATATGCCAAATATGTTCTTGTTCTTTCCTCCATTTCTAATATAAGATTCTTAATCCATGACAAAATCTTCACTGGCCTCCACTGGTATAATAGCTTTCTAACTGTCTTCCTTGGTAACACTTTTTTTTTTTTTTGCCATACTTAGCTATTAATGAATAACAAATTACCCCAAAACTTGATGGCTAAAGAAATAATGATTTTTCCAAAGTTCATGAGTCAACAAAACAACTAGATGTTTCTGATGATCTTGACTAGGAGGGGATTTTATGGTCATGGGTTAGACTCTGTCACGTGTCTTTCAGGCAGCTCGCTGTTGGCTGATGTAGGATAACCTCAACTTAGACCGCAGGCTCTGATTCATGTGCCTTTTCATCCAGCAGGCTATCCTGCGCATCTTCTCAGGATGATTTCTGAGGTCCAAGTGAGAGACAGAACTATACAATGATTATACTGCTTAGACTCAGATCTGCGATGCTATCACTCTACTCCTATTCTATAAGCCAAAACTCATAAGGCCAAACCAGCTTAAAGGCATGGAGAAATAGAAATGATGAGAGTTGCTGCAAAGACACGTTGCAAAGAGTGTGGATAAACACAGGAGGTCATAAGGTGGAGTGCTGAGAGTGAAGAATTGGAGTCACATTTTCTGTAAATTGACCAAACATTCTAAAACATATTTTGTAAATAATATTCAGATTTATATTTCTAGAAGTTAAAACACTGGACTTCTCAAATCATTTAATGGCTTATTGTTATACTTATTTATATACCTACTTTTAATGGCTTATATAGAAACTATATTATACTTATTATAAGTGTAATATACTTAATATAATACTATACCTTAATTATTTTTCTCATTATATCTAGATAAATAATAAATTACTTAGCAATAAAATTGATTCTGAACTCCTTATTAAGACATAAAGTGCCATTTATCATATGCCTTCTGTCTTCTCTGATCCTTCTTCTAAATTACTCTTATCAGAGAGCTTTTCTGTTAGTTCATCAGCATATCCTTAGTTTGTCCATGAAAAGCCTAATATATAGTAAGCACTCATTGGATGTTTGCTAAATTAATGAATAGATTAATAATTTATGTAATAGTTATCAACATGCTGAGAAAACAAGCATGGTGAACGATCTTAGATATAAAGATACGGTTAGGTAATTTTTCTTCTGTGTTTTCCTGTTATTCTAGATACACATTATGAGGAAAGTTTTTGTTTGTTTGTTTGTTTGAGACAGGATCATGCTCTGTTGCCCAGGCAATGGTATGATCATGGCTCATGGCAGCTTCAACTTCCTGGGCTCAAGCAATCTGCCCATATCAGTGTCCGAAACAGGTGGGACCACAGATGTTTGCCAGCTTGCCTGGCTATTTTTCTTTTTTTTTAGTAGATACAGAATCTCACTATGTTGCCCAGGCTGCTCTCGAACACCTGGGCTCAAGTGATCCTTAATCCTCAGCCTCCCAAAGTGCTGGGATTACAGGTGTGAGCCACCATGCCCAGCCGGAAACATTTTAGAGTTTCATTTAATAGCACTCTCCTTCGTTAAATTCTGTCTCTTATGGTGTTATGATCTACATATAACCTGTTTGTCCTTAAACAAAAATTTAGACTGTTGGAAAATCTGATGCCTATTAGAGTAAGATTTCCTAGCACACAAACATTGGAATATGTCACATCAAGTTCCAAAACCTCCTTTTATCTCTATCAACATTATACTACATGCTACTCCAAATTTTAGACTTAGTTCAATAATGGATGGAAAACGTGAGAAACATTATTGAGTCAAATGACAAAATTGTATGACTGATGATAAATTAGATAAAATATTACTTCTAAATGTACTGAGTTTGATAACTGCTGTGTTAATTTCCCTTCTGTTAGCAAACACATATTTAACCTATTTAGAGATAAAGAGCCACAATGTTTTCAACTTCTCAGATTGTTCTAGAATTGTGTATTTGTGTGTGTGTGTGTGTGTGTGTGTGTGTGTGTGTTTGTGCAGAAAGAAAGAGCAATGTGGGGGGGAGAGGAAGAAAGAAGGAGGAAGGGAGAGAGGAGAGAAAGATTGAGAAGAGGAAAGGCATGGGAGCAATGATAAAGTACATGAATATATGGTAAGACAGTAATAAAGTAGGTAAAACTCCCATGCATTAATTGCTGCATTATTTCTCATAAATTTTCTGTACACTTATTTTTTTACAAAAAAATTACTATGTTATATACTTTAATAATAAACCTAGAAAACCTCTGTGCCACCGCACTTTGTTGTCCACCCTCCCTCAATATTGCGTGCTTCACACTAAAATTTTGCCTCCATGGCTTTTGCAGGTTGTTCACATATATTAGGAACTGATTAAAGAGTTGCTTATTATTTGAGCAGGACTTACTCTGGTTTTTCTTTTTTGTTGTTGTTGAGACAGAGTCTTGCTCTGTTGGCCAGGCTAGAGTGCATTGGCACGATCTCAGCTCACTGCAACCTCTGCCTCCCAGTTCAAATGATTCTCCTGCCTCAGCCTCCTGAGTAGCTGGGATTACAGGTGCCTGCCACCATGCCCAACTAATTTTTGTATGTCTAGTAGAGACGGGGTTTCACCATGTTGGCCAGGCTGGGTCTCGAACTCCTGACTTCATGTGATCCTCCCACCTTGGCCTCCCAAAGTGCTGGGATTACAGGCGTAAGCTACCATGCCTGGCCTGGTTTATATATATATATATAAATATATATGTATATATACATTTATTTATATTTATATATATAAATATATATGTATATATACATTTATTTATATATTTGTATATAAATATATATGTATATATACATTTATTTATATATTTGTATATAAATATATATGTATATATACATTTATTTATATATTTATATATATTTATATATTTTTATTTTTTATATTTATATATTTTATACTTTTTATATTTATAAAATATAAAATATAATTTTTTATTTTTTTATATTTTTAGATTTATATATTATATATTATATATTTATACATATACACAAATATATTTATATATATTTATATATACACACACTGAATATATATATATATATATATATATACACACACACACACACACACACACACACACACACACATATATTAACCAGGCCAGGCATATATATATACATATATATATTTTCCGTATATATACTGAATATATATACTGAATATATATACAGTATATATATACTGAATATATATAGCATATATACTGAATATATATACAGTATATATATACAGAATATATATAGCATATATACTGAATATATATTCAGTATATATACTGAATACATATATAGCATATATACTGAATATATATACTGAATATTTATAGCATATATACTGAATATATATACAGTATATATATATACTGAATATATATATACTGAATATATATACTGCATATATATACTGAATATACATATATACTGAATATATATGTACTGAATATATAGAGCATATATACTGAATATATATATATACTGAAAAAATATATATATATATATACTGAATATGATGGGAAGATCTAGGGTGTTTAAAAACTTAATACTAAAGAGGCAATTTACAGCCAGATACTATGGTACATAAGAACTTGGCATGCAAGTATTTGGAATTTGAATTTGAATATTTTCTTTTAGAACCTCCTCACATACCCAGTTGAGTGCATATATCTTTGTTATCTCTTTGCAACTGCCTGTGATACTTCTTCCTTTACTCCGAGAAAAAGTTTTTTAATGTAATTTAGTTTTACTCTGAATTTTCACTAGTCTTCTATGGGATATTTTTGTTTATTATTTGGGGCATATTCCCAGTGTGGCACAGCAGTGTGTATGTTTGGCCAGGTTGTAACCACAGACTTTCAGCTACTCATAGATACAGTGAGATCCCCGTAAAATAATGGAGTTTTAAATTGAGACATACTGCAAGACACCAAGCCATGTGGTGGTTTTGTTTATAGAATCTCAGTATCAGTATAAAAAGGTAAATATAAATGTTGGCATCTTTGAGGAGTGCTCACTAACGTTTTCAACTGTTCTTTTCAAATTCTTGCTCAAATTAAATATACACCAAGCATTTACATTTTGGATCCAAAACATAATAGCAATACCATGCTATAATACATGCCTATGAATCAAAGTCAATTCATGCATGTCAATTTTCATGATGGAGTAAAGCGTAGCTATGAACTATCAAGCTTTGAAGTCTTACCTGCTGTTGAGCATCAGACTTAATGCTCAGGATCCAGATCTAGCTTCTGTCCTGTTTTTGTTGGCGTTGTTTGCTTGTTTTCCTGACCACTTGTCTCAATGCAGTTGTCTTCTATAACCTCATTGTCTGTTGCCTGTCATCATATTTCTTCTTTTTATTTAGGTGTATCATTGTCAAGGAATTGCTTAACTTCCATCATATTAATATCCATTCTTTCCATCATAAGGTTTCTACTATTTACCCACTATATCCCAAATATACCTTAACAGAAGGAACTGTTGGAGAGCCCAGCTGTAAAGCAGGAAACCATATATTGCTGGCCAAGTTTTTTTCTATACGTTATTAGAGCTAACAGCATGACAAAAATGTCCTCTCTGAAAGACAATCAGACAGTAACACTTTGATCATCAACTGAGGAAACTGGAGCAGAGCAAGATAATGTACCCAGTTTTCAGGCCAAATCAAAATGATCTATAGCTGAGTCAATAATAGAATTTCTTATACGTAACATATGTGCCCAAGGCATCTTCTGACCCATAATAGAAGTTTGAGCTTAGTCTATGATTATTGCAATAAAGCTAGACATATGGTTTGTTAGAACCACAGAGTCCCAGTGCTTAGGAAGTGATTTTAGAAATTAGCCATTCTAATCAGTGTCTGAGATGCACAGATTTAAGGTATTTATCCTATACACTCAGCCATAGAACATTTCACTAAATAAGCCTAGATAAAAAATGAAATAGACACCTATCTGAATCTTAATGTAGTGTTAGTTTTATTTTTTCTAATGTTTCAGCATATAAGTGGATAATTAATATTAAAGTATAAACATAGAGAGTTTTCTCTGTAATCTTGAAACATTAGTAAGAAATTTTTAGGGAAACAAGCATAATTGACAGTATACTTTTAGTAGATCTTCTTTATAATATTGGTGCTTTGTACTTAGGATACATTTGATACACATTTATGATATTAAATTGAATTCAATATTTCAGTCCTGTAAATTGAATAATCAAAGGCTTTATTTTCCCAAATGCTAACTACTACTAATTGTTGAGATGCACAATTGCAATTATACAAGCATTGAAAACTAAAAGGTCTCTGGGACACATGTTCTGTAATTTGACTATATTTTTAAAACACAACGTAATATACAATCTGTAAGCAAATTGCCTCGGAGAAGTTCTAACACTGCGAAACTTTCTAAAAGATTATTAGAAGACAATCAACTTGGAAAGATGTTACACAGGTCTATTTGAAGTTCAATATTACTGTAACATATGTTAATTTTTCTTCAACTGTCTCTGAACATGAGTAAAACATCTTTGGACTCCAAAAAAAAATAACTAGGATATAAATAGAAAAGAAAAAAAATTGTGTTCTGCATGATGATTTCAAAATAATATTTTCTTTATTGAGAGTTGGATAATTCATAATAATATAATCATACCCTATTTTCTTATTGACTGGAATGCGACTCCTATTAGGATACACAGTAGATCAACATTTTGGTTATTGCGTTGGTCTGGGAGGAGGATTGTTGGCATTACCAGTGTTCATCAACACCTGGTGTGCCCCTCTTGCCAGGAAGCACAGAAGACTATGCTTCCTGGGCCTCTTGCACTTAGGTAGACCCCAGTTTTTGCTAAAGAACTTCACACAGAAATGATATGCATTACCTCCAGGCTGGGTAATATTTTGTCTGTTGTCTTTCATACTAAAGTGAGATGGAAATCACATCTTAGGATGATGGAGACATACAAAGAAAGATAACTAGATTCATGAGTCACTGCCAAGAAAGAAACTAACCAAAAGAGCCACCAGACTCCAGCAAACTTTTCTGGGCCAAAAAAATAGTCTTTTACTGTCTTAAATCATTGGAGTTACTGGAATTCAAAGTTACTGTAGAATAAAATCGTTAATCTTGCTAATAATGAGTCTTAAATCTAATTGATGGTATTTATGTAATAGAAAGCAGGCAATGAAATAAGGAAAATGTAAGAAATATAAGAAAATATTTTAAAGTTGAGAAATAAGATCTAGGTCCACAAAATCAAAAAGTGTCTGAAATAATAACAGACATATGTGTAGTTTTTCAGAAATGATAAGATAGGAAAATAAAAAGCATTATCTGACAAAACAATGTTGCTTATTCCATAGGCATGCTTTTTCATAGAAAAATGTGTGTAAATCTGCTGTTTCCTTATGTATATGGATCAGTTTGCTAGAGTAATTTCTAAAATTTCTTTAAAAGGCAGTGTCTTCAGTTTTTGAAAACACTCACCATAGATACATGTTTACTTAATTATTGATGAATATACATATTTCTGTTTTCTTATCTTGAGATGAAAATATTAATAGTTACCCCATTAGAAAATTGTTTTAATATTAAACAAACTGTTGTGTATATTGTTGACTGAGTTATTCTAATTTCAGACTCTGACAGAAAATTTAGCTTGCATGATATTTTAAGTACACGTAGGGTCAATCCCTGTGCAAAGGAGAAGAAAGCACAAATGGACTGAAGAAGTAGTTCAGCTGCAATGTAGGCCTGGAACAATTTCAACTGATCACTTGGGGGAACTCTGAAGGAAGAATGGCCTTTAAAGTTTCTTTTAGTAGGGCTGAAATGTCTGAACCTTTATATCCCACCACAATCTGTCATTGGATATAGCCTGCCAAGGAAGGAAAACAGTGGCTGGGACCATATATCCTTCATCTTCCACCAAAATATTTAAAATAATTAGAGCTGAGTATTTATACATACTTTCAAATTTTTATATTACAACAGCAAAATTTATATTCTCCATATTAATAATTACATTAAAAAACATACATGAAAATTAAACAAGAATTCTATAAAGATAAATTTTTCTTATTCTTTACTTCAAACATCCAAACCCCATAATTCTCACTATAAATGAGAAGTCTATAGTGAAGAAAGGAGACATTATAGCTGGTTTCTTCTCTATGCAATTCTATATTCCCCTGAACTCAATAGTTGCTTTTATAGTCCCTCTTGTGTTAGGGCCAGGAGGATAATATTTTGTAAGAAAAGATCATAAAAACATATGCATGGCTCAGTTACTTTAAATCTGGCTTCAGAATTATCTTAGTGAAATAAATCTAATGCTGACTCTGTTACCTATGAAGCATTTTGGTGCTCTTGGTTGATTCATTTCCTTGGGATATGTCTCATCTAGGTGGTCATTCCACGTATCAGTTTGTCTTACCCTTGCCTTCAGCAGTTTAATCCCATAGAGACTTTCTCTATGCAACAACTTTGCACCTTCAGGCAAGCCTTTGTGGCTAGATATCTTTAAATTTTATTCCACCACGATTAGTTTCCGAAGGTTTCCTTGGGCATTGGGAAAACACAAGCATCCTTACGCTGAAAACCCTGAAAAGACAGATCCCAATTCAGCTGTTCCTTTTGATTCTGATATGTCATCTCTAGCCAGCCAGCCACTTACCTTTGCCTCACTTGTCAGTTCTGAGGTTTCAGATTTCATGCCTAAAAAATATATCTCTAATTACAATGATTCTGAGCTGCCCTCTTTGTGCTGCAGTTGTAGGTTGTAAATTCCACCCACCCCACAAAATCATAATATGAAGAGGACTTTATTAATTTCTCACCTCCTCTATATTAATTTGGTAAAATCACTTTGGAAGTAGTGCAAAAACAGCTTAGTAATATATTAAAACTTGGAACAAAGCATCTTAGCTATTGGTCCTCAGCTATAACATCAAAGGAGGAAGGATTCTATTTAATATTCTGTGATAATTTTTTGTTTCGTTCCATTTGGTAGGTGATATTTAAAAGCCAGATGGTGTAAAATATTTGGTATGCCATTGTAACGTAGAAAACACACATCGTTTGGGAGAATCAGATATTCTTAACTCAAATGAATTTTATTAATGAGCAAATAATTACATTTAAGATGTATATAGACTTTGATGTAGTAATTCAATTTCTATGAATTTATCCTATAGGAGTATCCAAGCACATCTACACGGAACCTTCAAAACAGCATTTTATTCTGGTGTAAAAGGGGAAAGGGGAGAGATAATTTAATTGTTTCTCAGAATGGGAGCTTTGTTTACCTTAATATATCTAAATGAAATATTATTCTGTACACAAATTAATACATTAAATATCTATAATATTAAGAAGTCATTGTTAGTGGTAAAAGTTTTGGTGATCAAAAAATATAATGTATAATAAAATATTTCTTTATTAGTAAATATAGCTGCATATATATATATACAGCATGTATACGTATATATATTTATACGTACATGTATTTATATGTAAATGGGAATTTTCTGAGAAAGTCAACAAGGAATTTTTATATATATGCAGAATAATTTTTCTTTGTGATTGGAAAAGATAGTTTTTATGTTATATATTTTAGAAGTATTTTAACATACTTTAAGTAATATATAAGACTATGGTGAATTCTTAATACTTGTTCAACAATTTACAAAGTCATTAATGTAATAAAAATTGAGAAGAGTCTGTTCATGTCCTTCGCCCACTTTTTGATGGGGTTGTTTGTTTTTTTCTTGTAAATTTGTTTGCGTTCATTGTAGATTCTGGATACTAGCCCTTTGTCAGATGAGCAGGTTGCGAAAATTTTCTCCCATTTTGTAGGTTGTCTGTTCACTCTGATGGTAGTTTCTTTTGCTGTGCAGAAGCTCTTTATTTTAATTAGATCCCATTTGTCAATTTTGTCTTTTGTTGCCATTGCTTTTGGTGTTTTGGACATGAAGTCCTTGCCCATGCCTATGTCCTGAATGGTAATGCCTAGGTTTTCTTCTAGAGTTTTTATGGTTTTAGGTCTAACGTTTAAATCTTTAATCCATCTTGAATTGATTTTTGTATAAGGTGTAAGGAAGGGATCCAGTTTCAGCTTTCTACATATGGCTAGCCAGTTTTCCCAGCACCATTTATTAAATAGGGAATCCTTTCCCCATTGCTGGGTGAAGGACATGAACAGACACTTCTCAAAAGAAGACATTTATGCAGCCAAAAAACACATGAAAAAATGCTTGTCATCACTGGCCATCAGAGAAATGCAAATCAAAACCACTATGAGATACCATCTCACACCAGTTAGAATGGCAATCATTAAAGAGTCAGGAAACAACAGATGCTGGAGAGGATGTGGAGAAACAGGAACACTTTTACACTGTTGGTGGGACTGTAAACTAGTTCAACCATTGTGGAAGTCAGTGTGGCGATTCCTCAGGGATCTAGAACTAGAAATACCATTTGACCCAGCCATCCCATTACTGGGTATATACCCAAATGACTGTAAATCATGCTGCTATAAAGACACATGCACACGTATGTTTATTGCGGCATTATTCACAATAGCAAAGACTTGGAACCAACCCAAATGTCCAACAATGATAGACTGGATTAAGAAAATGTGGCACATATACACCATGGAATACTATGCAGCCATAAAAAATGATGAGTTCACGTCCTTTGTAGGGACATGGATGAAATCGGAAATCATCATTCTCAGTAAACTATCGCAAGAACAAAAAACCAAACACCGCATATTCTCACTCATAGGTGGGAATTGAACAATGAGATCATATGGACACAGGAAGGGGAATATCACACTCTGGGGACTGTGGTGGGGTGGGGGGAGGGGGGAGGGATAGCATTGGGAGATATACCTAATGCTAGATGACGAGTTAGTGGGTGCAGCACACCAGCACGGCACATGTATACATATGTAACTAACCTGCACAATGTGCACATGTACCCTAAAACTTAAAGTATAATAAAAAAAAATAAAATAAAAATAAAAAATAAAAAATAAAAAAAAAATTGAGAAGATACTGAGAAATGCTCAGGACTCAGATTGAAGTTCTGAGTTGGCAGAGAACTTTGCAGACTTTGAAAGCTGGCAAAGAACTTTCTTCGTCATGACTTTTTAAACATATTTCGGTAAAGTTATGGTAAAAAATAAACCATTAAGATTTAAGCAAATTAAGATCACATTAACTTTGGAAGAAAACATTTAAATAATTACAGAAACAGTTTTTTTAAAGAAAATTCTGATTTTCCTGGCATTTGAAGAAGAAAGATACATTGTGATTCCATAATTTTGATATTCAAATGCAAGGAAAAAATGCTTTGTGGAAAAATGTTCATAAAGATATGACCAAATGCTCCAGTGAAGAAATTGTAAGACTGGATTCTTTCTTTTTCCTTTCCTACTTTTTTTCAGTCTGTCCTAGAATAAATTAATCCATATTTTCAATGTGAGTAAATGCTACTTATTTTCTTAAACTATAGCACTGTAAGAAGGAATAGACAGGAGTACTAGAGGGAGATAAAATTAGATCACTTTTGATGGCATTTTAGAATGCCATTGCATGGACATTAAAATTTACTTGTTGTCTTGAGGCAATAAAATAATTTACTCCTCAACAAAGTAGGCACTGAAAGTACATATCTCAAAATATTAAGAGTCATCTATGAAAAACCCAAAGCCAATACCACACTGAATGGACAAAAGCTGGAAGCATTCCCCTGGAGAACCAGGAAAAGACAAAAGTGCTCACTGTCACCACTCCTATTCACCATAGTACTAGAAGGCCTATCCAGAGAAAAC
Source organism: Homo sapiens (assembly GCF_000001405.40). Taxonomy (NCBI): domain Eukaryota; kingdom Metazoa; phylum Chordata; class Mammalia; order Primates; family Hominidae; genus Homo; species Homo sapiens. The sequence goes on from NC_000005.10 coordinate 26,102,059, forward strand.
AGACAAAATAAATAAAAGATATTCAACTAGGAAGAAAGGAAGTCACAGATAATATGATACTACACCTAGAAAGCCCCATAGTTTCTGTCCAAAAGTTCCTAGATCTGATAAACAATTTCAGCAAAGTCTCAGGAAACAAAAAAAATGTACAAAAATCAGTAGTGTTTCTACACAACAACAATGTCCAAGCTGAGAGCCAATTAAAAAATGCAATTCCAATCACAATAGCCAAAAAAAGAATAAAATACCTAGGAACACAGCTAACAAGGGAGGTGAAAAATGTCGATAAGAATTACACAACATTGCTGAAAGAAATCAGGGATGACACAAACAAATAGCAAAACATTCCATGATCATGGATAGGAAGAAAAAATATTGTCAAAATGACCATGCTGCCCAATGATATTTACAGATTCAACGCTATTCTTTTCAAGTACGAATGACATTTTTCATATAATTAGAAAAAAAATGCTAAAATTGATTTGAAAACAGAAAAGGGCCTTAACAACCAAAGCAATACTAAGCAAAAAGAACAAAGCTGTATGTGTTACACTGCTCAACTTCAAACTATACTACAGGGCCACAGTAACCAAAACAGCATGGTACTGGTACTAAATCAGACACATAGACTAGTGAAAGGGGTAAACAGATCCAGAAATACAGCTGTAAACCAACAACCATTTGAACTTTGATAAGGCAAACAAAAACAGGCACTATGGAAAGGACTCCCTGTTCAATAAATGGTACTTGGTTAACAGATTAGCCATATCCAGAAGATTGAAACTGGACCTCTACCTTTCACTACACACAAAAATCAACTCAAGATGGATTAAAGACTCAAATGTAAAACTTAAATTAGAACTTAGAAGAAAGTCTAGGAAATACCACTCTAGATATTGGCCCAGGCAAAGACTTCATTATAAAGACTCCAAAAGCAAATGCAATGAAAACAAAAACTGACAAGTGGGACCTAATTAAATTAAAGAGTGTCTGCACAACAAAAGAATCTATCAGAATAGTAAATAAATAACATACAGAATGGGAGAAAAATATTGACAAAATATGCCTCTGACAAAGTTCTAATATCCGGAATCTATAAGGAATACAAACAAGTCAACCATCAAAAAGCAAACATCCCCATTAAAAAATGGGCAAAGGGCATGAACAGACACTTCTCAAAAGATGACATACATGCAGCCAGCAAGCTTATGAAAGAAGCCTCAATATCATGAATCATTAGGGAAAAGCAAATTAAAGCCACAATATGAAACCATTCACTGCAGTCAGAATAGCTATTTTTAAAAATCATAAAACGACAGATGCTGGTGAGGTTGGGGAGAAAAGGGAATGCTTATACACTGCTAGTAGGAATGTAAATTAGTTCAGTCACTGTGGAAAGCAGCCTGGAGGTTTCTCAAATAACTTATAACTACCATTTGTCCAAGCAATTCCATTATTGGGTATATACCCAAAGTAATATAAATTCATCTGTTATAGACACATGCACTCATATGTTCATCACAGCACTAGTCACAATAGCAAAGACGTGAAATCCACCTAGATGCCCATCAGGGGTGGCTTGGACAAAGAAAATATGGTGTATATTCACCATAGAATACAATGCAGCTATAAAAAATGAGATATTGGCCTTTGCAGCGACATGAATGGAAGTGGAGGCGATTATACTAAGTGAATTCATGCAGAAACAGAAAACCAAATACTGCATATTCTCACTTACAAATGCGAGCAAAAATTCAGTGCACATGCTACATATATGTGTGTGTGTGTACATATATATATACACATATATATACACACATATATATATACACATATATATATACACACACACATATATATATATAGGAGTTTATTAAGTATTAACTTACACAATCACAAGGTACTACAATAGGCTGTCTGCAAGCTAAAGAGCAAGGAGAGCCAGTGCAAGTCCCAAAACTGAAAAACTTGGAGTCTGATGTTTAAGGGCAGGAAGCATCCAGCACAGAAGAAAGATATAGGCTGGGAGTCTAGGCCACTCTCTTCTTTTCACGTTTTTCTGCCTGCCTTATATTTGCTAGAAGCTGATTAGATTGTGCCCACCAGATTATGCGTGGTCGGCTTTCCCCAGCCCACTGACTCAAATGTTAATTTCTTTTGACAATACCCACACTGACACACCCAGGATTAATACTTTATGTCCCTCAATCCAATCAAGTTGACACTCAGTATTAATCATCTCAAGTCCAACCCTTGTCAATTTGAACCCATACACATCTCCTTAGATCATACATAATCTTTAAATAAAGACAATAATGAGGTCATAATTATGCCTAACGTAATACAACTATCTTTCATATAACCAGAAACCCACAAATCCCCAATCCAAATACTATTACATAAAGTTAATAACACCTAAATGCTGATAGGAAGTCAATAAATGTTATGTCACATGAGAAAGAAAAAGGAAATAAAATGAAATAAGGAAAGAAAAGAAAAAAAGGAAAGAAAATAAAATATTTTCTAGTACAAGTGTATACATGCACAAACAAGTTTTTAATGAAAGAAGGAGGAAGTACTCATGACAGTTACAGTCCTCATTTCTGCAGCTGGTCACGTGGTTTTAGCTCGTATTGATGACTACCTTCTTCTATTGCCCATTCTGTATTCCCCTTGTCTTCAGCAAGCACCTCAGCAGCTCCTAGATTTTTTCTTGGTGGAGTGACCCAAACCGTCATTTCTGGAGTCTGGACAATTTGTAATCCTATCTGAAATGGGCTTTTATAGTTTCCCATTGACTTTAATCACAGGGCATGGTAATACTAAGAGATGCCCTAATAGATTTCCTGTATTTCATGCATACTCTTCCTTAACCTCTGCTGTGGAGTAACAGACTGATTGCATCTTGATAGTCCAATTCAATCACCCCAGCCAACACTGTAACTCCTTTCTAAGTCTGTTGACTTAAAGGTAGGAGGAGCCCAAAGTGTCTAGGAGGCAATATTAACTTCCAGTTTAATTGAATCACTGTTACGTCTCCTAGTAGCAGCATTCCTCTGTCTGGATCTAAAACCTCTAATATCGCAGGAACAGGAAGCTAAAATTTTGATATTGGGTCACTAGAGGTGATGGTGAGTGGTGCCACCACCATACATGGTAACTTAATGACCCACAGTAAAACATTCAGTTTCCACCAAAGCCGAGTAACAGGCCAAGAGCTGTCTCTCAAAAGGAGAGTAGTTATCTGCAGAAGATGGCAGGGCATTGCTCCAAAACCCTGGAGGCCTCCGCTATAATTCACCTATGGAAGCCTGCTTAAGGCTCTCAACAGCATCACTATCTGCCACTCAAGCACCACTGGATCTGCTGGGTCATATGGCCCAAGTGGCAGAGTAGCTTACGCAGCAGCCTGGACCTGTTGCAGAGCTTTCTCCTTTTCTGGACCCTGCTCAAAACTGGCAGCCTTTTAAGTCACTTGATAAATAGACCCAAGTAACACACCCAAATGAGGAATATGTTGCCCCCCAAATTCAAATAGGTCCACTAGGTATTGTACCTCTCTCTTGGTTGTAGAAAGAGTCAGATGCAGAAACTTATCCTTTACCTTGGAAGGAATATCTCAACAGGCCCCACACCATTGGACCCCTAGGTATTTTACTGAGGTAGAAGTTCCCTGACTTTTAGTCAGATTTATTTCCCATCTTCTGTCACACAAATGTTTCACCAATAAGTCCAGTGTGCTTGCTACCTCTTGCTCACTGGATCCAATCAGCATAATGCCATCAATGTAATGGAATGGTGTGATATCTTGTGGAAGCAAAAAACAATGTCTCCAAATAAGATTATGACACAAAGCCGGAGAGTTGATATACTCCTGAGGTAGGACCTTACAGTTACGTGGCTGGCCTTGCCAGCTGAAGACAAATTGCTTCTGGTGGGCCTTATGGACAGGAATGGAGAAAAAGGCATTTTCCAAGTCAATGGCTGCATAACAGATACTAGGAGATGTGTTAATTTGCTCAAGCAATGAAACCACATCTGGTACAGCAGCTGAAATTGGAGTCACCACTTTGTTAAGCTTACGATAATCCACTATCATTTTCCAGGTTCATCTGTTCCGCAGAGGCCAAATGGGAGAGTTGAACAGGGATGTGGTGGGAATCACTGCCTCGGTGTCTTTCAAGTGCTTGATGGTGGCACTAATCTCTGCAATCCCTCCAGGGATATGATATTGTTTTTGATTTAGTATTTTTCTAGGTATAGGCAGCTCTAATGACTGATGGCAGCATGGATCAGGGAAGGGACATTGCCACTGCTGGGGATGGGGAAGCTGTTCCTTCTGGCAAAAATGGTTCATTAGAATTTACAAACTCAGTGTCCTTGGCTTCATCAGGGTCCTCCTCCATATCCCCATTTCAAGCTGCATGTTCCCATTCTTTTCCAATCAGTGCTTTCATTTTAACAGTAGACTCTTGGTGAGGCTGTACATGCATCTTTCATTGCAGGTCAGTCACTCACATAATAAGAGCTTGTGTTTGTGTTTCCACAATTTCAGCTCTTTCTCTACAGGAGATAAGACTCCCACTCAGGGCAACCCTAGCAGACTTGAGGCTCGTATCTGCTTCTGAAGTCGGGAGACAGAATCCCTGAGTTCATCATTTTATTTCATCACTTTGTCCACCACTGAACTTAAGAACAACCAACCAGCTTCATTATGTCCTTGGTTCTCAACATATGGTCAAAGGTATTATGTATAGAGTCACCAAACTCTTTGCCTCTTAAGAGCAGTGAATCAGGAGTGTCAAATGCATTTATTTTGCGTAACTCTTTAAACTGTTTCTGCCAAGGACTATCAGTGTTCTCCACACTATTAGAAGCAGAGTCTTTAGCATTTTTGGGTCTAATCATATAAGCAGCCAACTCCAGAAACCCCAATACCAATGAAAGAACTCCATCCTTAATATTCTGTTCCTCTATAACCACTCCTGGTACTAAAATTTGCATTAGTCAGGGTTCTCTTAAAGGTATTTATATATATACATATATATATATATATATATCCTATTAGTGTGTATATATATAAATATATATATCCTATTAGTGTATATATTTATATATATTCCTATTTGTTAGGAATATATATATATCCTATTAGTTGTATGTATATAAGTACGTAATAAAGTCATATATACACATATATATCTTAATAAAGTCAGTATACACATATATATACGTATACATATACATACATATATACACACATATATGTATCTATATATATACATGTATGTATGTGTATATATATGTATATACATGACTTTATTAACAATTAAGTTACACAATCACAAGGTCCCACAATAGGCTGTCTGCAAGCTTAGGAGCAATGAAAGCCATTCCAAGTCTTACAACTGAAGAACTTGGAGTCCGATGTCCCAGGGCAGGAAGCATCCAGCATAGGAGAAAGATGTAGGCTAGGAGGCTAGGCCCATCTCTCTTTTTCATGTTTTTCTGCCTGCTTTATATTTGCCTGAAGCTCATCAGATTCTGCCCACCAGATTAAGGGTGGATCTGCCTTTCCCAGCCTACTGACTCAAATGTAAATCTCTTTTGGCAACACCCACACAGACACACCCAGGATTAAGTATCCCTCAATCCAATCAAGTTGGCACTCAGTATTAACCATCACTGTCCCTGTGGGGTATTATGCAGATTACTTGGGTGACAAAATTGTCTCTACACCAAATCCCAGCTACATGCAATAAATTACCCATGTAACCTGTACATGTACTCTATGAACCTAAATTAATTTTAGAAAAAGAAAAAAAAGATTTAACCTAATAAAAATAATAATGTACTGAGTTTCCTTTTATCTCTTTAAAAATAAATCATGGACATATGGTATTTAGTATAAAAATATGTACCACCAAATTAAGAATGAAAGAAAGCAAAATACAAAAAAGAAAACAGTAACAAAATACTTAGTTCTGTTAAACTTAAAAGATAATTTCATAGAAAATATCTGGAAATAAATATGTACCACATAATATTTCTCTGGGTTGCAAATTTCAGGAGCTAATAATGAAATTAACTGTGTATATATGACTGTTATGTTTCCTATGTCTATCTCCCATGAGCACATTCAATAAATTAGGATATGGTAAATTTTTCTGGAATTTTTTGGTTCCTTATACAGATTTTTTTTCTTGTAGCAGTACTTGAATTTCCTTTTGAAGTATTAATTCTGTTCCATTTTTTGAGTCCTTGTGTGAGCTTGTGTTGTGGGTCCTATCTTCTGTTATCCGCAACTCTCTTATCTTTCCTTCCCTTACTTTTCCTTCATTTTCCATTTTTCCTTTCATATTTCTTGCTCTTTCTGATAAAAGGATATAATACTCATTCGTACATATCATTAAAGCTAAGCCAATTCCTAGAATTCAATACTACAACAACATAATGAAGAGATAAACTTTGTCTCCACAAGATTGTGGAATGCTTACTAGTCTTAAGACTCTATAAGGTCCCTGTTCCCTCTTCCTTTACTTGTTCTTTGACCTTCAATCCTGTGAATTCTACCTTTACAAAAATTTTCAAACATTAAACAAAATTAACCAGTTATTTCCACTTTCAGTCAAGATGGAGAAACAAGAATTGGATTTACTCTCACACCTGATAGATAATTTATACACACACCCATACACAAACACACACACACACGCATAGAGGAATAATGTTCCTCAATAAGTTGTTTATCAATGAAGGAAAATAATTACTTAGAGAAGGGAAATAAATAAGGTAACCTTATGATTTCTTCAGTTTAATGCCTGGAGAAAAGTTGCTAAACCACAAGAGAAGGGAAAACCCAGACAGGGCCAGTACGTCTCACTGAGATGAGGAGACAGAGCTGGAAGGAGGTGGAGAGCAAAACAGCTAGAGATAATGAAACCTAACTGAGCAGACAGAGCTGAACTGAGAGAGAATTCTGAAGATCTTAGGTTTTCACCAGATATTAATCAAACTGTGGTTATAAGAGCACTGGGTGAAAATGAGAAAGAACTACCCAAAAGTAACAAAAACGATAAACCCCTAAGCTCACACAGTACAAGGAATAATGCCTATTTCCCTCAATTAAAAAAAAAGAATACACATACAAATAATGGACTCTGAGTAGAGAACCTAGAAGAGTCTGCCTCAGTAGTGAGGCGAAATTAACCCTAAAATAAAAACTGCTGTTATTTCAGCTCACAAACCGAGATTGTAAAGGAGCAAAACATTTTCAGTAACTTAATTTTGTTCCCCCAAATATCAAGTGATATTTATAGAAATACACAAATATCAACCACAAGATAAATTCACAATGTCATGGCCTGGAAAACTCAATATTTTAAGATACTACTTGTTCCCCAATCTATCTAATGCAATGCTAACCAAAAGACAAGCCAGTTTGTTTGTAGAAATTGGCAATATAACTCTAAAATTTATTTGGAAATAAAAGGTCACGAGGGTGACCAAAACAGTTTTGAAAAATAAGAGAAGAAACTCTATGTACAGCAGTTATTGTGTGGCTGCTGTATTCAAGATACTGTGTTACAGTCATCCATTTAGACACACCACACTATAGATCAGAATACTGAGTCTAAAAATAGACAATTTACATATGTTCACTTGATTTTCAACAGGGTTACAAAGGTGATTCAGTAGAGAAATATATATTCTTAACAAATGGAACTGGAACAACTGTACATCCATATGCAAAAACAATGAATCTCAATCCATATGTTATATTGTATGCCAAAAAAACTCACAACGGATCATGACCCTAAATATAAAACTTAACATTATGAAACTCATGGACAAAACCATAGAAAAAAAATCAGTGAAAGGATACTTAAGTTCCATATTAAAACCACAATCCATAAAAGGTGGTTGAATTTACACAATGAATTTTATTAAAATTAAGAACATCTGCTTTTTGAAAGATACTGTTAAGAGAGTGAAATAACAAGTTAAGACTGGGAAAGATATTTGCAAGTATATATCTGATAATGAAATTACATTCAGAATACGTAAAGAAATCTCCATTTTTAATAATAAGGAAACAGCCCAAATGAAATAAACAGGTAGATGATTTAAACACTTAGCATAGATATACAGATAACATCTTAGCATATGAAAAGATACTCAATGTTATCTATCATTGGAGACATACAAATTAAAATCACAATGTGATGCCATCACATACCTATGAAAATTTTGTAGTAACACTGGGGCCTCATGTAGTCTCTCAGTGTTGCTTGGCTTCCACATAGCAAGTGGCCTCAGGAAGTCAAACCTCTTACACGGTAGTTCAGCATTCTAAGCATGCCAGTTCCAACAAACATGAGAAAAAATATCTTAACTCAGATTTGGGAGTGACACAGTGGCACCAACACTGCAATCTATTGGTCAAAGCAGCCAGAAACCCACACAGATTTATGGAGAAGGAAATTAGATTTTACCTATTGATAGGAGAGCAGCAAGGGCACATTATAAAGGAGCATTTGAAAGCAGACATACTGTTCCACGAATCTTTGGAAAATACTCTGTCTACAGCAATGGGAGCCACAAATTCAGAGTCTATAAGAATTTCCCCCACAAATTACTTATAATTGTAAAATGAAAAAAGAATGGATCTTTATACTATCAACATTACAGATATGTCCCCAATAAGGAGTAATTAAAATGCTAGTCTCACCCATGTTTCCAGATCATAGTTCAACTAGAGAAAAAAAAAAAAATCATCACTCCTAATTATGCAAATGTGGGAATATTGATAGACATTATCCTTGGATTACGATGTTACTAAGGGATGAAGTCTGTTCTCTGATATATATCTGGTGTAAAAAATTTGTCCTTGCAGAAGTCATTGGCCAATTTAAAGAGGCTTTCTTAAAATGTCTAAAGCCGACTTCCTGCAGATCCTCTTTCTCTCATTACCAAGTATCACACTATTTTCTCTTTATGGTGCATATATATAAGCTATAAAACAATACATTACTGGCCGGGCGCGGTGGCTCACGCCTGTAATCCCAGCACTTTGGGAGGCCGAGGCGGGCGGATCACGAGGTCAGGAGATCGAGACCATCCTGGCTAAAACGGTGAAACCCCGTCTCTACTAAAAATACAAAAAATTAGCCGGGCGTAGTGGCGGGCGCCTGTAGTCCCAGCTACTTGGGAGGCTGAGGCAGGAGAATGGCGTGAACCCGGGAGGCAGAGCTTGCAGTGAGCCGAGATCCCGCCACTGCACTCCAGTCTGGGCGACAGAGCGAGACTCCGTCTCAAAAAAAAAAAAAAAAAAAAAAAAAAAAAAAAACAATACATTACTGCTTCTTCCCTTGGACTTATAATGTCACCTCTTTATTTGAAGCAAGCATCTAGTCATTTTCTTTCATCTTTTCACAAGTGCATATTATACTTTAGTTCTCTAGATAATTACCTCTTTCACTTTTATCACCCTGCTTCTGGCTAACTTCCACATCACAGCTACTATGAGGTAATATGAACCACTCCTAAGTAAATGATATTCTTGAAACTGCTGACCAGAAAATTTTACATCCCTATAGAAGTTATAGATACAGCAATGCCTTAGGATCTCTTTTGAAAAGTGGCAAATACATCTGGTTATTCTGCAAATTTCTAAACCCTGAGTTATACCTGTCATCATTGCAGGATTCAAAAAAGTGTTCCTGCTCTATCTTTGTATGTCAAACATAAGATTAATTCGTCCTTAGGGGTATACAATTTTAGGAGCTTGGATTTTATTCAATCTGGCATCAAAATAAGGTAAAATTTTGTCTTTGCAGGTTTGTCTTTCGTCTAAGTAGGTTATTGTAACTATTTAAATCTAAGGATTTCATTTACCAATCCAGGTGAAAACAGAATACAAACATCATAGGTAGCATTTGAAAATTAAAGGTAACATATTATGTAAAAATAAAATTATATAAGGCTAGAATCCAAGATTAGTATTTTCACACTTTGATGGTGTGTTAAAAAGAGGTGAAGAAATAAGGAACATGGTGTCTTTTCTTCATTAAAGCTGAGAAAAAATGAAAAAAAAGTTGTTGATCCTGCATAGAATATTAGAAAGAATACCTCTTTGAATGTCACTGTTATACAAACTTCGGGTGATTTGTGCTAAGGATGCTCATCCTTTAAGAAAAAAAAATATTTTGAGATTTCTGTTGATTCACATGCAATTGAAAGAAATAAAACAAAGAGATCTCATATACTTTCATCTAGTTTCTCAATATGTTAAGATCATGCATATTTTGTAGAATATCACTCCCAAGAAATTGACATTGATACAATTCACTAATTTCAGATTTCATCAGTTTTACATGCATTCATTTGTATGTATGTGTGTATTTAGTTCTATGCAATTTTATTACTTTTAGATTCCCGTGATCACCACTCTAGCATTTTCAGTATGTCCTTTAAACTCTTGTCCCTCAAAGGGACACTTTGGATGTCATTGATTCTTTTATGTTCCTAGGTTACAAAGAGAATGTAAGATTGACTCTGGTAACACTGTTAGAAAACATGTACTCTATAAATAATGATGGGCAATTCACTGAGACTCAAAATGGACACAGGAATAGGTGTCATACAAAAGGGATGGCTTTAGTGACTCACTATCTAATATTTGAAAATGTCAATAGTTGTAATAATAACATGTCATGATAATAATAATAATAAAATAACTGCAACTAGTTGAGCCTGTAAAAGACGGTAATTCCCTGGAGATACTTAAATGAGAAAATTCCATGGAAAATGTATAAAAAATGTGAATATATTACAGAGTAAATATAACTAGAATAAGATGTTTATAATTTTTTATTTATAATAGGTGGGACAAAATATTTGAATGTTTTTCCCTTCATAATAATATACTAATTTGCAAAATACGAAAAAAATATTTATACATATACACACACACATACACACATACACGAACACATGCATATCTCACATGTGTAACGTGGCTAGCTCCATGGACCTGTGACTTGTGCAGTTAGAGTTCAACATTTGTAGAGATCCCATACTTGGTTGCATCCTCTCATGTCACCATCTTGAAATTCTTCATTGTATCTTTAAACTTGTGCTTTGTAAGCAAACTCTGATTTGATCAAAGAACATGCCTGTGAGCAGAGAGTGATAGAATATGCATGTTTTGGTTATATGCTGCCCCAAGGGCACCATTTCCAGTACCCTTTGAACTCAGGATGCTAGTGAACCCACACTGCATGGCAGTTCATTGAGACTCCAAGTGGACATAGGGTACACATTTTAGGGTGGCTTACCTTGCGCACACTCAGAGTCTTCCTGAAAAATCATGCATCAAGGCCATGAGAAATGTGTGCTCTTTCCATTACTAGGTATGACTGATTAGGCAAGGGCACTGACAAACCAAAGAAGCTGCATTTGCCATGTGAACATTTCTGTATTGGCCAACCAATTATGCTGAAAATCATGACATAAAAGTAAAGTGGAAAAAAAAGCAATCTACAGATTTTTCCCCCTGTTTATCCAACTCATCAGTAAGCTAATGAGAGTCTTAATAGTGTGCATACAATCAAGAAGCAAAATAATAATAGTTGAATTAGATTTTTTCAGTGTTTCCATTTTTCAGTTAAGAATAAAATAAGTATGATCCACATATTATGATCTTTGTATTTTTGGTGATCCCACATTGGAGTTAAATGCTGTTACCTCTGCATTTAAAACTGGTGTTGAACAGTATATGAATGAATGCTAAAAGTCATTCTAAAATTATAAAATTTTGCTTTTTCTTTACATAGAATAGCATTAAATGGCAAACGAAAACATCATTAGTATATTTAGAAATAGCTAATGGGTACTAAGCTTAATACATGAGTGATGAAATAATCTGTACAACAAACCCCCATGACACACGTTTACTTATGTGAAAAACCTGCACTTGTATTCCTGAACTTAAAAGCTAAAAAAAAAATTAAAAAGAGAAAGAAGTGGAAGAAAGGGAAAGCTGTATAAATTAGTACCATTAATGGCACTCTTTATTTTCTTTGTGAACGAGGGGCCTATATTTTCATTTTGCACTGGGCCCAACGAATTGTGCACCTGGCACCGAATGCAGTAAATTATAAAGGATAAAATATGTTGTGAATAAATGTTGTTCATTCAAATAATACAATATTTACTATCCCAAAATTATCATAATTCACAATATAAAGAGACTTTAAACAAACACTGTCATTTTAATACTTGCAGAAAAATCATCTGTAAAATTAAACACTTAATTATTTGGTGTATTAGAAAGAGAAGGGGACTCCCTCAACTTGATAAAGGCATTTGTGAAAAATAAATGAAAAGCTAAGATGTAGTTAATACTAAAGACAGATGGATTTCTGATGTGTTCAGTAACACAGACAGGAGATCTGCTGCCATTGTTTTTTATTGTACAATGTGGGAGAGATCCGAGCCAATGAAATAAGATGGGAAAAAATGACTACATGACATAAAGATTAGAAAGAAGGAGGAAAATGAAAACTTTTTTTTTCACAAATAACAGGCCATCTATGTAGAAAATTATAAATACTTTACAAACATTCTGTTAGAATTAAGAAGTGAGTTTAACTTCTACAGAATGCAAGATTAATGTATTATTTATTAAAAACTTTACTTCTATGTACTTTCAACAAACAAGGGGAAATTTGTAGTTGAGAATAGCACTATTTACAAGACTATCAGAAATATAAAATATTGAGGGAAAACTTTGGTAATGTATGTGTAACACCTATACAACCAAAATGTTTCTAAAATATATTCAGAAAACCTGAATGAATGGAGATACACACTATGTTCATCTGTGAGGAGCCTCCAGATATTAAAATGTCAATTGTTCCCCTAATGACACTAGATTTAATGCACTCCCAACTGGAATCCCAATATTTTGTTTGATAAAATTGAACACTAAATTTATAACTTATATGAAAATGCAAATAGCTTATATTATGCTAAATAATTTTTATTTTTATTTGTTTTCATTTTTAATTTTAATTTTTTGAGACAGGTTCTTGTTCTGTTGCCCAGGCTGAAGCGCAGTGGTGTGATCACAGCTACTTACAGCCTCCACCTCCCAGACTCAAGCAATCCTCCACCTCTGACTCCTGAGTAGCAGGAACTACAGGTGAGTGACACCATACCTGGCTATTAAAAAAAAAAAAATTGTAGAGAAAGGGTCTCATTATATTGACCAGCTTGGTCTCAAACTTCTGGCATCAAGCAATCCTCCCGCCTTGCCCTCCCAAAGAACTGTGATTACAGGCATGAGCCACTGAACCTGGCACTGAATCATTTTTTAAAAGGAAGAACAATGTTGAAGCACTTACATTTTGCAATCTTAAAACTTACTGGAAGTATACAGCAATCAAGATAGTGTAGAATAGGGTTGGACATATAGATTCATGAAAAAAATAGAGTGTCATAATACCCATACGTGATTACGTACTTGAATGTGACCAGCTGATTTTTGTCAAAGATGTCAAGTGTTTTTATCGAAAAGGGCAGTGTTTTCGACATTTTTTCTTGAAGAATTAGATACTTATACTTTAAAACAATCTTTACCTTTTCTTCACACCTTATAAAAACTTAATTTGAAATGCATCATAGGATTACATGTAAGTGCTAAAATCAGAAAGCCTTTTGCAGCAATCCTGGGGGGTAATCCAACTTGAATTTGGCAAAGATCTTACATAGGGCATAAAAGCACAAATAATAACATACAAAAACATTAGCCTTCATTAAAATTAAAACTTTTTTTCATCCAAAGACACTGACAGTAAGTTAAAAAGGCAACCTAACAAACTGGGAGAAAGTACTTTCAAATCAAATACATAAGTAAAAACTATTAGCATTCAACAAATAAAAGACAAACCACTTGATTAAATAGACAAAGACAATTCACCAAATAATATGTGTGTGTGTGCAATTTTATGGTAAACGCAACCATGAAAAATGTGTCAACATCATTTGTCATTAAAGAAATGAAAATTAACAGTCTAATACCTCTACATAATCACTGGAAAAGTTACATTTCAAATAACAATATCATGCATTGGCGATGATGTTGAGTTGAGAAATGAGAACTCTCATATACTGCAGATAGACACACAAAATATACTTGAATGTCCACAGTAATTTTTTAATAACCTAAAAATAAAAATAGATGTGTGTCTAATGGTGACTGAATAAACTATTTTGGAATGCCCCAGAATGAAATATTTTAAATCAGATATATGGGTTAATCTAAAAAAATAGGCTAAATGAAAGGAGACAGACAGAAAAGACAATGTTGTGTATGATTCCATTTCTATGACACCGTAACAGAGGCAAAATTACAGTGACAGAATAAAGATCAATGATTTTCAGGATCCAGAGGTTGAGGGAGGAAAATGAATGTAAGTGAAAGTGAAAATATTGAGGGAGAAGGAAAGATAAATCTACATTACATATAGCTTACATATTTTTAGAATCAATACAACTGTACACTTAAAATTTGTAAAATTTTACTACTTGGAAATTATATCTTGACAAATCTTTCTTAACTTAAAAATATATTGTCTTCTGTCATCAGACATGTAGTATGATACAGAAGGGGGTTTTCGAGGCCAGCTTGTCATACGACTCATTTTCTTTTACATATAACTTACCTTTCTTTTTTGCACTTTTTAAAATACTAATAATTCCTAAAATGAAAACATACCAGAAAAAATCTAGATTTGAGCAAAATTTTATTTGAATTGAGGCAAGCTCCTTCGAGCTGTATATATATACGCTTTTAAGGTACATTTATAATTTTTTCATCTGCAGCTTTTAAAATTTTAATATACTACTCTCAATACCTGACAATGCTTGGTTGATAATGAAAATTGCACCTCCATGTAGCTTTAATTTTTGTTTACCATCTGATAATCCACTCTTAAATTCATCTCTTTAAGAAAAATGTTGTGTTGCCCTTTCTGTGAATTACTTCCTTATAGCATTTACACATTTTTCTACCGTGTTTTGATCTATTTGATACTAAATTTTAGTCTATATATGTTAGGGAATTTAACTCATATGGCAAAAATTTAGCAAGTATTTTTCTAAGGCTGGTCATTCTTTTTCTAAGCCTTATGTAGTTACATTTATTAAACTTTCTTTTGTGGTTACCTGATAGAAGTCCATATTTAAAAAGGCATTTCTCATGTGATGATGATAAAGCAATTTTATCATGATTTGTTCTAATAAACTCATGTTATTTTTTACATATAACATGTATACTTTGAATTTGTCCTGGTTACCACTATAAGTATGGGTTTATGCTTATGTCAATGATAAAATGACAACTCAGTTGTCTAAACAATTTTATTAAATATAGAATTTAGATCACTGATTGAGTGGCCTTTTTTTTTTCATAGAATAAGTTTCCATATGTATTTGAGTCAATTTCTAGACTTTCTGGTCTCTTTTATTGTTAATCAATTTAGTCGTTTTACAGTGTTATATTTTTCTTTTCAATCTTTGAGGCTTTAAAAATTTTTATAGGGTGGGTGCGGTGGCTCAAGCCTGTAATCCCAGCACTTTGGAAGGCCGAGGTGGGTGGATTATGAGGTTAGGAGTTCGAGACCAGCCTGACCAACATGGTGAAACCCCATCTCTGTTAAAATACAAAAATTACCTGAGCGTGGTGGTGCATGACTGTAGTCTCATCTATTTGGGAGGCTGAGACAGGAGAATCACTGGAACCCAGGAGGTGGAAGTTGCGGTGAGCCGAGATCACGCCACTGTACTCCAGCCTGGTGACAGAGTGAGACTCCATCATAACACACAAAAAATTTCATAATTAGGTCAGGCTAGTCACCCCTCACTGTGCTTCCTTGACAAGGTTTGCTTTAATACATTTGAATTATTTTTGTAAGAAATTCATGCTCAAAATTTTCTCTGATTATGTATATAAATAATGCTCTCGTAGTAAAACTAATAACTAGTTTATTTATTTTTATGGAGACAAGCTGATTCATTTAAATTTTTACGAAGATGTGGCTGCTAACTCCTAAATAACTAGAGAAAAAACTTAACCATCATGCAAATTCTTGAGAGAATCTAATATGAGATGTTTAAAATTTAATGTATTTTCATTATTATAAATAAGATACACTTTAAATATTCATGTTTATCATGTAATATAACATTCAAATAGTAAGATTTTGCGTTGTTTCTAAGTATACTATATGTATGTACACACACATATATATATATACACACACACACACACAATCAGTATTTGGGAGAAAGGGAAGGTTTTTCCTATAAATATAAATTATTCAGTAGCAAACAAAATCTACCTTTCTGTAATTGTGAGAGCTTTACTTATTGTCTTAAATTTTGAATAGTATTTCTAAACTAGAAATCTTAAGGACAAAAGAATAACTGTGAATAATGAGAAACAAACCTGCACAGAAGAATTATGGTTTAAACCTTGTCATTTTAATAAAATGTGACAGGAGAATATTACGCTGCAAGATGAAGTTTCAGCCTTTATTACATGATTTGATTTCATTGAGATCCATGGAGATAAACTGAAATATTTAGTGACAGTCCATTTTTTTAAACCATCTTCTCAGAAACAGATCAAAGAATGTAGACATATAGTTTATTATACTTGGCACCCTAATAAAAATTCTGAATATTTGCACAATTGGATCAGTTTCTCAGTTTCTGCAGGTCTTTATCTAACAAAATTAGCAAGTCATATACCTAGATAAACAAAACCTCCAACAAATCCATAAATCTCCTTTAAGTTATAAAGGATATGAGCATGACATTGAAAAGTAAGTGGAACTAATATTTTAATATGTACTGCCTCTAGCAAAAATGGAGTTAATAAATATGTCCATTTTATTGTACTCATAATTCAGCTGTAAAAGTTTACTCAAGGAGAAGCATGCCATTGTAGTCATATCATTTCACTCTTTTTACCCTGGCAATTATTTAATTTTATTTCAACTATTTATCACTCAGTATGCATTTAATGTACATTTACATTCATAGCTAGAAATATCCCTTTATTTTCCTCAGAAAGAATGAGATTGCTGACAATGTATGTAACTCTTTTGTTTTTACAGAAATGTTTCATTTTCAATATTCAAAATTGTTATTTAGGATTTACTGTATCAGAGCAAACTCTTTCCTCCCTCAAACTTATGTGCCATGTATAGCTGCACATGGATAATGATTTACTGAATATCCTGTGCAATAGAAAAGGTTGGCTTCAAGAGCAGGTGGTAAACATTATACCACCTCCATACTCATAAAATTTAACACCTTCCATTATTCCTTTTGACTCTAATATACACATATGAGAAATTCAACAGTGTGATTTGATTTTTTTCCCTCAAATAATTCATTTATTTTTTAAAATGTCTGCATGGTGTTACTGGTTTTCTTGGAATAGTATTCCATGTTACCTCCCTAAGAGACTAAAGACAAAGTGATTCCCAAGGGTCTCAGTCACGCACTAAGATTTGACAAGCAAATTACCACAGAAAAGTGAGGATATCCTGTGAATGAGGAAGACACGGGGTAAACTATGATATTGACCAAAATGAGTTTTGCATATGTATGTTTCTGGTAAAACTAGGTAGACTATCTAAAGTAAAACAGACATATACTTTCTCAATGGAATTGAAGAGCTGTTGATGTAAACTAAGAATAGAGTGACCCCATGCATTCTTAGTGCTTCAAGTATTATGTATGTGCTATTACCTAGACCCTTTGCCAAATCCCATTACCTACAAAAAAAATCAAATACAATATGTTCAAAATTGTAGCATAATTTACTTTCATGACAACCCCTATTCTTCCTCTTTTTATGTTTTTATTGATTGCGTTATATTTGTAATTTGTATTTTAAACAAACAATTACAGGTATTATCAGTTCTCGCATAATCATTATCACCATGTCCCCCCTTTTAACTTCCTGAGGTTTTTCACTACAATTAAGCAGGAATTTAAATAACAGTGAACTAATAAATTTATGTTTTTAGTGTTTATTAGTGTTTTTTTTGTGTGAGTGAATACTTGGCTATAATGAAAGAATGAATTTCAGTAAACCTGAACCTGGTAGGAAAGTGATAAAAAGGGACCTTGACTTTTGATTCATCCAGTCTCTCCCTAAGTACTCAGTGGTACAATGAATCAGCTAGCACTTTCACCTACCTAGAGGGCTGGCCAGCATTCAACCAGTGTTTCCGAAACCATTGAGAAGGATTAAGAAGTTATAAAACACTCATGATAGTAGAACAGGGATCATCCTCTAGGATTTCAATCAGATGTTACATTTGGCATCAAGGATTCTTCATTAGGAAGTGAAGACCACAAAAGCAATTATCAGGAAAATGCCACCAAGTCACTCCTTTGTGTACCCAGCCATCTGCTAACAGGAAGCTGTACTCTCACTAACTACAAAAGAACTTACATACTTTGATTTATTCTGTTGCTATTCAACAATCACTCTCATCTCTGTAACAATAATACACTAGGTATATAATGAACATCAGCAAATTAAACTCTCTGAGTCATTTTATTCACTTCATTTTTTCATTCATATTGCAAAGTAAATACTATAATTAAATAAAAGCAATTAACTTGACGCCTAGAACACTTTCAGTTCACTTGCATGAGTTTCTTCCCACGTTTTTTTTCTAGAATTATTTTTATATAAGACGCAATATAATACAAAGCATATTCAATGTTTCCTATGTCAACAAGATTTGAAAGTAAGTAATGGCATAAATATTGTTTAAAATAATGTTTTACCCTCAGTATGGCAGATTAAACAGATGATATCACACTGGTTCAACTGATGCTTTTTGACATTTATGATGGTGCAAAATTGACACACATTCAGTAGAAATCGTATTTTGGGTACCCATACAACTAATATGTTTTTTACTCTTAGTACAATATTCTGTCAGTTATAAGTAATATTCAACACTTTATCATAAAATAGGCTTTTTCTTAAATAATTTTGCCCACTTGTAGGCTGATGTAAGTGTTCCGAGCATGTTTAAGTTAAGTTAAGCTAGGATATAATGTTCAGTAGGTTAGGTGTATTAAATATATTTTCAACTTACAATATTTTCAATTTATAATCAGTTTATCAGGATGTAATCCCATCATGAGTCAAGAAGCATCTGCATTTCCCCTAAGTAGTTTTAAAAATACACCTAGTTTCTTCTTGTGTTCTTTTTAGAAATTTGCTACTGTACCGTCAAATGGTAGAATATGTGTACCTCTCCCTTGAACTGTGGCAGAAGTGCTAAAACATGATTTCTGGAGCTAAAAACAATATAGCGCTTCCTGACTCTCTTAGGAAGCTTGCTTTTGGAACTCAGCCAACATGCTTTGAAGAAGCCATGTAGCCACACGGAGGCGTTCTTCTGACAGCCCTTTAGTGAGTTCTCAGCTGAGGGACCCCAGCAATCCATTAGACATGTAAGTGAGCAAGCAAACAAGTCTATCTTTCAGCTGTCCTTTGCGACACCCCAAGTGATGTCACATAAAGCAGAAATAGGTCTTTCTCCCACAAACCCGACAAAACTGCAGATTTATGATTTAATAAAATATTGGGATCAGCTGCAGACAGTGAATTGTATAGTGATTTCTTATAAAGAAATGGGTAGTACACTTAGAGAGTAACACTTGAATATTCTGTGCCTCCCACATCCTTCTAATTTTTCCCTGGAGTTTAGATAACTTATCCTTTACTGAACTCAATTGTATGTTTATTCCAGTTTTTTTTGTTTGCTTCATCTTGTTTTATTTATTTGTATTTTTTGAATAATTTTCCATTTCTTCCTCTAAGTGGTAACTATATATTTTACTTACTACCTACCCCAGCTGTGAGCCTAAAGTGACCAGAATCAAAATTTGTTTCTAACAATCAGGGCCATGGTTGTTACTCTTCATTCTTATGTGGCGAGCCTGACTGCTGAGGAAATTCTTAAAACTGAGGATAAGCATAGTATTCAATAGATCTCTACATTAGGCACAGGATGCTTTTAAGCATTAGTGTACTTTGATAAAAACTTTGGAAAAAACATTTTGGATGTAGAACTGGAGGGGCATTTAAGTAGAATAGGTTGTATTCCTTGACAAATAGCAAGCCATGACACAACTGAGTGGCTATTTGACCTGATACTTTTTTATGTGTTTGTTAAAATCCACCTTTA
Organism: Homo sapiens; assembly: GCF_000001405.40. Lineage (NCBI taxonomy): Eukaryota > Metazoa > Chordata > Mammalia > Primates > Hominidae > Homo > Homo sapiens. The sequence goes on from NC_000005.10 coordinate 26,122,353, forward strand.
CCACATTTGTTTATCCCAACATAGCATTGGTATCTAATCTTTATCAAAATTATATTGCATTCTTTATGATAACTCTCAGTTTTACTGTTTGACTAACTTGATCTGTCATATTTGCAAATATGGCTTACGGTAACTGACTTTAATGTTCCAGAAGGATCAAGGTAGTTACAGAGTTTTTGTCCTTTCCATTTCACAGAACTGGACCCTTATCGTCTACTAGTGTAGAGGTTGGAAAACTTTCCTTGTAAATATTACTCAGCTTTGCAAGCCTTATTTCTCTGTTGCAACTAGTTAACTCTACCATGTGATACAAAAGAAGCCATAGACAATACATAAAAAATGGGTCTATTTTCCAGTAAAACATTTTTAACAAAAAAGGTGACAGATTAGATATGGTCCACGAGCAATAGTTTGCCAAACCTTCTACCAGAATAAGAACGTTATAGAAATTTTTCTGTTAAATATTTGGTAAGTCAGTTAAGCTTGTATCTATTTATTATCTAAGCATTCTTGTTTCTACAAAGTGGTGAAGAATTAAGATATTCTTTTTTTTTTTTTTTTTTTTTTTTTGAGACGGAGTCTCACTGTGTCCCGAGGCTGGAGTGCAGTGGCACGATCTTGGCTCACTGCAAACCTCCACCTCCCGGGTTCAAGTGATTCTCCTGCCTCAGCCTCCTGAGTAGCTGGGACTACAGGTGCCCACCACCACGCCCAGGTAATTTTTGTATTTTTAGTAGAGACGGAGTTTCACCATGTTGGCCAGGATGGTCTTGATCCCTGACCTTGTGATCTGCCCGCCTTGGCCTCCCAAAGTGCTGGAATTACAGGCGTGAGCCACTGCGCCTGGCCTATTAATATTTTTAAAAGACTTCACAAGATAGAAGTTATGTGTTGAAAGAATACTTTGAAGTTTAAAAAGTACTACAAAAATGCTTTATAATTTGTGACAAAAATTTAAAATCTTTGGGATGTAAAAATGTGTGTGGTGATGGCAATTTGAAGATTACCCCCGAGTGACCTAATGATAGTCACTTCAACTAAACACCTGGATTCATTAAAGCAAATAATTGCTTCTTTTTGTAGGCTCAAAAATGTATCTCTTTTGGTTTTATTGTAAATAAAAAAATAGCTTTCAAATTGAAAGTACAGAGATGCACATCCTTATTTTCTAGCATATAAATAAATAGTAAGAAAAAGTTCAAAATGTGGTAAACTGCATTCAGAATTCCTTTTGTTACTCCAAATAGGAGTATATTACTTATTTTAAAATATAGTTCAAGTTGACAATAAAATAACAACCATGAATGCATTTTAATTTCTTCTTTTAAAATATTTCTGGTTCACTGTTTAGGAGCTGAGCATAAAATAAGGAATCTAGCAAACAAAAATTATTTTCTTTATGGAGCTTGCATTCTACTGCAGGTTATAGACAATAACAAAGATAAAAATACATGCCATGGTAGATGATTATAAGATGCAAAATTAGGAGGCAAGCACGTAAGGATTATAGGGAGGAAAGATACAATTTTGAAAATTCCAAGAACCACTAATGAGAAGGTTTCATTTGACGAAACACAGGAAAAAACCTTTTTCTGGTTGTTGTGTTATGAGGGAGATTTTCAGGCAGAAGTTTTAACAACTTCAATCACACCAATATAGAAGCTTTCGCGGTGAATTTGAGGAACATCTTTAAGTCCTGTGGGACCAGAGAAAAGGGAGAGATGAGGAGGTAGTGAAGTGTAAACCAGAAGGATAAAGGGAGGTCAGATCCTATGAGACTCTGAGGCCTTTTAAAGTACTTTGGTATTTGCTTTGAATTGGGAAGTTATTGTAGAGCTTTGACCTAAAAATTGACAACTGATTTACTTTTATAAAGATTCCCCTGCAAAGCTGAAAAAAAAAAAAAAGAGATCAGTTAAGAAGCTATGGGTGTTCACATCAGTGTTAGCAGCCAAGTGGTAGGAAATCATCAGATTCTTCAATGAACAAGACGTACAACTCACACAACAGATGAAAATTATAACAAATTATAACAAGAATACTTATTTATAAAAGTAACTTGTAACAGTGAGCACAGGAATTCCATAATTGTTGGGAAAGCATTTCTCAGATATCAGGATTGACTAGGCTCCCACACTGTTTTATTTTTATAAATTTGCCTAAGAAATGGACAAACGAACAAAGGGGAAAAATGTTCACATGGCCACTTATAGAAATGGATATTTCCCCTTTATCCTCAATGGATTTTTAAGGTAGAGTTCAAATTATTTCCTAATCCTGGATTGTATTTAGTAGGTGAAAGAAAGGTAATATCATTAAATAACTGTGACTACAAATAGAAAATACATTGAAAACTTTCACAGTAACAATGAGACAAATTTCTACGGAAAACTACCAAGCATTAAAAAAAATACTCAGAACTCTTTTATTATTATTATTATTATTATACTTTAAGTTTTAGGGTACATGAACCAAACACTGCATGTTCTCACTCATAGGTGGGAATTGAACAATGAGAACACATGGACACAGGAAGAACTCTTAAATATATAGTGGATTTATATAAATAAAGGGCAACTGTAGATTAATAGATTATAGATATGTAGATAGACAGATATCATAAAGTTGAATAGGAGCCCTGTACTCATAGTACTTGTATTAGTCTATTTTCATACTGCTATAAAGAACTACCTGAGGCTGGGTAATTTATAAAGGAAAGAGGTTTAATGGACTCACAGTTCAGCATGGCTAGGGAGGCCTCAGGAAACTTACAATTATGGCAGAAGGCAAAGGGAAAGCAAGACACCTTCCTCAAAAGGCCGCAGGAAGGAGAAGTGCTGAGCAAAGAGGGAAGAACCCCTTATAAAACCATCAGATGTCATGAAAACTCACTCACTATCATGAGAACAGCATGGAGGAAACCTCCCGCATGTTGATGAGATTTGGGTGGGGACACAAAGCATAAGCATATCCGTACTCTTTCCATTCTCAATGAGTTTTCTTTTTGTTTTGGGAAGGTGGTGGAGATTAACTTTTGTCAGCATAGATCTGAGGAATCCCTGCATTAATGCTATAATTCACTATAGCAGGTTAAATGTCATTTTCATAAAATAAAAAGTAAAAATAAAAGTCTTTACAAAAGTTTGCAGTCATTTAAGTTGGTCATTAACCCAACCAATGCCATCTATGGCATAATATCTAAAATCAACGATGTACTAACCTGCTTATTTTTTTCTGTGAATCCATGACAAAAATTATTCACCAGGTCCATTAACCATGGCGTTGCTAAGAAATGCCAGGTGATATAGTTTTATTTTTCTTAGAGACTGCACAACAGATACACAATTTATGAAGATGGGTCTGGTAATTCAAATAAATTTTATGTTCAATTTTTATGATTCCCATACCAAAATAATAAATATTATCTAAAAGAAGTCTAAACTAAGAATACTAAGATAGTAAATAATCTGCATAAAATAAGATTTGGATTTTAAGCTATTCCTCAAATTTAAAATTAACCTAGTGAAATAGCAAGAGACATAATGCTGTTAAAATTTCTTATATTTTTATTAACATCTGAAGTTAAAGTTTGTCAAAGGAGAGGGGGCATTATTATTCTTGTCTTACACTGAATATGCTGCTGTAACAGAATACCACAGACTGGGTATTTCACAATGAAGAGAAGTTTATTGGCTCATGGTTCTGGAAGCTAGGAAGTCCAAGATTGAGGGACCAGCGTCTTGCAAGGGCCTCCTTGCTGCATCAACCTATGGCAGAAGGGCAAAAAGAGGGGAAGAGAAAGAGACAAAAGGGGGTCAAGCGTCCTTTTATAAGGAAACTGCTTCTGTGACAATGAACTCTCTCTGTAGATAGTGGCATTAATTCTTTCATGAGGACAGAGTACTCATGGTCTAATTACCTTTCATTTGGCCTGACCTTCCAATACTGTCTTAATTAAGTTTCCAACACATGCTTTTCATGCTTTTCTGGAAACACATGCGAACCAAAGCTTTCCTTAATCTTTAGAGAGTAATTTTGGCAATGTATCATTTTGGGAGTTTGTAACTCTCTTGTATGGAATATATTATCAGTTTTTGCTAAGTAGGCAACTAATATGTTGCTACTAGTAAAAAGATAAATTAATAATAGGTATATAGTATGATAAATATCTAAACTGTACACTTGTTTTGGCTATATCTCATACATTTTAGTTTTAAAATCACCATGTAAGACTCAACTATTCTTTAAAACTGAATTTCACATTTCATTTTCAAGTGGCATAAATCCTCAGATAACAATATGTATGATGCAACTTGAGAATTTTTTTTATTTTAGAAAAATTGCAGAGATTATTGGGAGAAAATCCTCAAGCTTGTTAAAATGTATCTGCTCTATCAACCATTGACAGTAAAAACTGTGTTAAGACATTACTCTGTCTTTCCAGTGATCTCAGTTATCCTCAGGTGCCAAATACATAATTGATTCTCTATTTCATCTATCTTTCTCATCACCATTCTTATCCCTGCTCAGCATCAGGGTTTAAACTATGCATTCTCTTCCACATTCATTTTTTTTAACCACAAATCCTTCCACCCCTACCTTTTATATTTTCAAAGTCTCCCATAAATATTCTCTGTATAATTGTGAATAAAATTGGCTGTGCAAATTAAACATGATATTTATCTACTTTCACTATGCTTAGGCAACTAGGAGCATCATTGAGCTTATTTAGCTTATACAAACAAGAAATGAAAAATAAAATTCAACATATTAATACATATTTTCAAAGTTAAAGAGTTTACAGCTTTGAGTGTTTATTAGAATAACATGAGGAGTTTTTAAACTTACTGATGCTGAAGCCCAATCCCAATCTTGCTAAATCAGGTTATGTGGATGGCGCCTATCTACAGTTTCTTTTTAAAAGCTCACTAGGTGACTCTTATATGCAGCTAGAATTAGATCCTCTGGTATAACATATATGCTGTGACATGTGTCAGAAGTTCTCTAACTATCTCAGGCCCACTTTGAACTCTTTAAAAAATTATTGAGGATCTAGAGAGGCTTTTATTTACATAGGTTACATAGATCAATAATTACAGTATTAGAAATTAAAACTGAGCAAACTGAAGCTATTTCTTCATTTCAAAATAGAAGTAAAAAGAAAACATCATATGCTAACGAGATAATATTTTATGAAAAATAACTGTAATTTACAAACCAATAAAAATAAGGAAAAAAACTGGACTCATTTATTTTTTCAAATCTCCTTAATGACTAATTTAATTAGAAGACAGCTGAATCCTTCTATCTGCTCATGTATTTATTCCTTTGGGATATCACATGTTATGTAGCCTCTGGTAGACTCCACTGTATGCTCTTTAGAAAATTAGAAATAAAATAAAAATATTATTTTATTTTCAGGAAGATAGTTTTAACCCTATAGAGCCCTGAAAGAGTCTCAATAATCCTCAGAATTTCTTAAATTTTTGAGAGCGACTGCTCTCAAATCAATCCACATTTTGAGAACTACTGCTATATTCAAAGGAACACATATATTTTCCTCCATTGATAAATACTGTGGATGAGGGTTGTGGAAGTAGCGTGGGACTTTTTATTTAAAATTTATTATCTGAAGATTAGCTGTTCTATCTGAAAACTGCATCTATTCTCTGAAATGTGACTGATATATCAGAAGTTTGAATGTTTTGGAAAACATTTAGAACTACAGAAAAGTTAAAAATTATCAAGTGGAGCTCCCTTGTCGTCATTAATTCACCTCTACAAATGTCAATGTCTTATGTAGCTATAATGCAATTATCAAGTTTAGGGAATTAATATTGACATAATATTTATTATTAAACTACAAACCTCATATAAAAATTAAAATGTTGTACTTCTCTTTTAAGATACTATGCAGGATTCCACATTGCATTGAGTAATTTTTAGCAATCTCTTCAAAACTTTGACAATTTCTCAGATATTTGTTTTGCATGACCTTGACACTTTTGAGGATTGATCAATTGTTGTGAATTACGCTCCTCCATTTGGTTTGTCTGATACTTTCTCATGGTTGATATGAAGTTATACATTTTGGCAAGAATATCATAGAAGGTGTGCTGTATACTTTTAGGTCCATTATATATATATAGGGTTTCATCATGAGGCTAGATCTTACTAATGATATTTAGTTTGATCACTTCGTTAAGTTGCTGTCTCATGAGTTTCTTCCATGTAAAGTTATTTATCTTCCCTTTTGTATTTAAATGTTATCTTTGGGAAGATATGTTAAGACTATGCAAATCCCATGTTTTCTCATACTTCTTTTATTTATTGCCTACTTATTTTAGCATCTAGTGGTGGATCTTGTCTACAACCACTATTATTGTTATGTTTGCCTAATGATAATTCTCTATTTCTATGTTTTCTCCTTCTGTGTTTTTAATTGGATTGCTAATGGAAGAAAGATTAATTGCTTTTCTCACATTTTTGAAAGTATATCAAATTATTTGTATAAGTACAGAGTTGTGGATATTTATTTTATCAGATAAATCTAATATTGCAATTATTTATTTTGTGCCCCAATTTTAACAATTTTGGCCACTAACAGTTCCTTTGAGATGTCACACATACTCTTTTCAAAAGCAATTTTTTAAAAATAATTTTCTTACTTCCTCATACCCCAGGATTTTTCAGGCTCTTCTTGTATTTTCTTATCCTGGCTGTGTCACTTTTCTAGTGGTAAATGGTGTTTAAAATCCAACATCTTGGCGGTAGGTGGCTCTCTGCTTTGCCATTAGAAGTTTTGTTCATCCGATACTGCGAAATTTTCTTAGTGTTATCATACAATTTTGTCTTCATTTTAGAATTAGTAAAGAATACTGACTTTCTTTTGTATTATCTTTTGTGGAAAATATGAATATAATGAATTTTAGAGTTCTTTGTTTACTGTGCTTACTTTTGAGGGATTTCCTAGCAACTATGTTTCATACTCTAGGTAAAACCTCGTTGTTTCCAGAGCTGCTTTTATTTTCTTCTGTCATAGGCAACAGTCCTGAAACAGAGCTTACAGGTACTTCAGTCAAAAGCATTTTTTCACAGTAGTAATCCTCATGTTTCACCAGCTAGGGCTCTTGTTGACTCCACTGTGTACTTGAAAGCTTTTGTGTATCCCAAAAACATTTATTTCAAAGATGGTTTTCTGTTAGAATCAAGCTTTCTAATGTAAAGTGCAAATGATTTTTCTTCCAGATATTTTGTTGTTTCCAAAATACATTATATATGTGTTTGTATATAGATATATGTAAGTATGTACCTATGTGTAAATCTAGCAATATATTTAAAAATTTAGTAATAGATAACAATTTAGTCATAAGTTAAACAACTGCATTCAAATTTGGGAATAATGTTGTATCAAGTTTACTTTTCATAATTAATTTTGATTTCATTTTCTTACTATAAGGAAGGGAATATAAAAATACTACCTTCTAATAAAAAGTATATTTGAAGAAAATATAGTAAAAGGAGCACAGATATACTTTCTAGATAGTACTTCCCATATTGGTTTTGTATCTGAAACAAATTTATGATATAATTATAACACTAATTAAGTCATCCATATTTTGGTTTTATTTATATCAAATCCTATATGTGTTTACTATATTTTTGACCTGACATGACTCATGAATTTACATATTTCTACAAAATATTCCCTTTTATTTTGTAGAAGCCTAAAAGTTTATTTTTGATTTTTGCTGTTTTACTATTGAACAAAGTGAGCGATTGTTATATGTATTATTATTATTTTACTTTCAAAACCAAAATTACTGATATTCACAGTATTTGTCTTCTATTATACTATAATTAATGCTATTTACATAATTCATTATAATATCGATGAATAACAAGTGGTAAGAAAATGATTATTTTATATCACTGATTTTAGTACATCTAGAGAGTTTAGAGTTATATAAACACATGCACACATAAAGAAGTAGATATGCCTTTCTGCACCTGACTTATTTCACTTAACAAAATGTCCTCCATGTCCATTTATGTTGCTGCAAATGATAGAATTTCATTCTTTTTATGCCTTAATCATATTCCATTGTGTTTATATACCATATTTTCTTTATCCATTAATCCAATGATGGACACTGAGGTTGATTTAATATCTTGGCTATGGTGTCTCTTTGTTATACCATCTCTTTGTTATACTGATCCCTTTCTTTTAGATATATACTCAGCAGTGTGATTGATAGATCACATGGTAGTTCTGTTTTTAGTTTTTTGAGGAATCTTCATATGGTTTTCCATAGTGTGGCTATACTAATTTTACATTCCCACAAATAATGTGCAAGGTTTCCCCTTTTTCCACATCCTTACTAGCATCTGTTATTTTATGCCCCCTTGATAATAGCATTTGGACTGGAGTGAGATGATGTGTCATGTGGTTTTGATTTGAATTTCCCTGATGAGTAGTGAAATAAGTACACACAGAAAGACAAATAGTTGTTAGGTGCATGTTCTCCCTCATGTGTGGGAGCTAAAAAATTGTCTCATGTAAGTAGTGACTAGAATGGTGGTTACCAAAAGCTGAGAAGAGTAGGAAAAGAGGAGATGAAAGAGGTATGCTGATCGGTTCAAAAATACAGTTAGAAGAAGAAATCATTTCTAGTGTTTGATAGAACACTAGGGCTACTACAATTAATAATAGTTTATTGTATATTTCTAAATAGCTACAATAGATGATTTGGAATAACACAAATAAATGATAAATATTTGAGGTAATGAATCTCATTTATCTTGATTTGATCATTACATTGTATGCATGTATGAAAATATCACTGTAACCCATCAATATGTACAACTATTATGTATTACTAACAATGAACAAAAGAAAAATAAAAACTAAAAAGGTGTGCAATTTAAAAGTTAATTTACTTAAGCAACATGTTTTTAATGAAATTTATTAAATAGCATTGTGAAAAAAGGTAACAAGTAGAAAACAATAAGGAATTCTAAATTTTTTAGATAGAAAACTTAGAATTCTAGGGAACATGAAAAAAATTTTGCATATTGAGGTTTTTATGCCTATATTAAAAATTGAGAAATATTAAGCAAAAATTCATGTTTTGAAAACTACACAGAAAATCTACACATTTATAAATTGGAACCATTATATAACATTAGATTTTTAAAAATTATTATTATACTTTTAGTTCTGGGGTACATGTGCAGAACGTGCAGATTTGTTATATAGCTATACATGTGCCATGGTGGTTTGCTGCAGCCATTAACCCATCACCTACATTAGGTATTTCTCCTAATGCTATCCCTCCCCTAACCCCTAATCCCCTGACAGGCCCCAGTGTGTGATGTTCTCCTGTCTGTGTCCATGTGTTCTAATTGTTAACTCCCACGTGTGAGTGAGAATATGTGGTGTTTGGTTTTCTGTTCTTGTGTTGGTTTGCTGAGAATGATGGTTTCCATCTTCATCCATGTACCTGAGAAGGACATGAACTCATCATTTTTATGGCTGCATAGTATTCCGTGGTGTATATGTACCACATTTTCTTTATCCCGTCTATCACTGATGGACTTTTGGGTTGGTTCCAAGTCTTTGTGTGAAGGTAAGTATTAGATTTTTAAAGGCATAAAGGATTATAAGTTTTAATAGGTAATCCACTAACATTTTGGTTTGTTTGCTCTCTGTTGTCTCATTACGAATTAGTGCATATAACTAAAGTACTTTACTTAATCAATTAACCATATATGGTATTTTATTATAAAAGTTTAAATGCTGCAATACATGTATTTCCTTGTAATTATATGTATAAGCCTGCATATCTATTTACCATACTAATTAGCACCTTTTATGGCAAACACACAAATAAATAAACAGAAAACATTATGCTTTCACATAGTTGGTAGTTAAACAATTGGAGTATTGCCAGAACATGTTGAGTAGTGCTTGAATAAATGTGCTCACATTATTATTTTAATTAACCGCCAATGTGATATTTCAAAGTAATTATAACACAACAATTTGGAGACTATATTTATTGACTAGATTTATTGATAGGGAGAATTCCTTTCCTTACTATTTAAAATACATATATTATCTTATAAATGTTAGCTAAAATGGTATTTCCATTCATATGTAAATAAAGACTTACTATATGTCTACTATGAGTCAGCTGCTGTGCAAGGACCTGGAGATTTCATGAGCCCTCAAGGAAGGCTCCCATGTCAATGAAAAGAGTATACATATTGAAAAAAAAATGTAGCAAAAATAAAAGTTTCTAGCTTTTCCAGGAAGAAGAAATAGATTATTAAGTTTTGGTTGTTAAAAAACACTTCATATATGTAAAAATAATTAATATTCATATATGTCAAGAGAGGTAGGCAAGAAAACATCATGTGCAATATTTAAGGCCAAGAACATACTGAAACTTGAGAGAAGGAACTGAAGTGAGTGAGGATATTACAGCTTTGCCTAGAGTAAAGCTGAAGCAGCAGGATTTATGAGAAAAAAATTTTGTAAATGCTGACGTAAAACAGAGTTAGTAAGGATATTGTATTAATTTTCTATATCTACTGTAACAAATTACCACAAACTTGAAACACCACCAATTTATGATTTTACAATTCTGGAGTTTAGACATCTAAAAAGAGACAGAAGGGCTGCAATTTTTCTGCAAGATATAGGGAGAAATTCCCTTGCTTTTTCCAGCTTTCAGTGGCTGCTTTCATTACTTGAACCATGGCCTGTTGCTCCTTCTTTTTTTCCTTACAAAAATGCAAAAGCAATTTAGTGGAATAAGATAGTTTTTTATTTTATTTTATTTTTTAGAAAATAATACTGGAAAAGAGATGTTCCTGTCTTTAAAAAAGAACTTTAATCCATACTTTGTATATAAAAATTAATTCAAAATGGATCACAGACTTCAAAGTAAAATGTAAAACTGTAAACTGCTAGAGGAAAACGTATGAGAAAATATTTTTGATCTAAGGTAAGGCAAAGTTGTGTTTTGTTTGTTTGTTTCTTTTTAACTTTAAATTCTGGGATACATGTGCAGAATATGTGGGTTTGTTACATAGGCATACATGTGCCATGGTGGTTTGCTGCACCTATCAACCCGTCATCTAGGTTTTAAGCCCCGCATGAATTAGCTATTTGTCCTGATACCCTCCCTCCCCTTGTCCCCCATGCCCCAACAGGCCCAGTGTATGATGTCCACATTCCTGTGTCCATGTGATCTCATTGTTCAACTCCCACTTATAAGTGAGAACATGCAGAGTTTGGTTTTCTGTCCCTGTGCTAGTTTGCTGAGAGTGATGGCTTCCAGCTTCATCCATGTTCCTGCAAAGTACATGAACTCATTCTTTCTTATGGCTGCATAGTATTCCGTGGTGTATATGTGCCACATTTTCTTTATGCAGCCTATCAGTGATGGACATAAGTCTTTGCTATTGTAAATAGTGCTGCAATAAACATATGTGTGTATGTGTCTTTATAGTAGAATGATTTATAATACCTTACATATATACCCAGTAATGGGATTGCTGGGTCAAATGGTATTTCTGGTTCTAGATCCTTGAGAAATAGCCACGGTTTCTTCCACAATGGTTAAACTAATTTACACTCCCATCGACAGTGTAAAAGCGTTCCTATTTCTCCACAGCCTTGCCAGCATGTTGATTCCTGACTTTTTAATAATGACCATTCTAACTGGCATGAGATGGTATTCCATTGTAGTTTTAATTTGCATTTGTCTAATGACCTGTGATGATGAATTTTTATTCATATGTTCATTGGCTGCATAATTGTATTCTTTTGAGAAGTGTCTGTTCATATCCTTTGCCCACTTTTTGATTGAATTGTTTGTTTTTTTTTTCTTGTAAATTTAAGTTCTTTTTAGATTCTGGATATTAGACGTTTGTCAGATGAGTAGTTTGCAAAAATTTTCTCCCATTCTGTAGGTTGCCTGTTCACTCTGATGACAGTTTCTTTTGCCATGCAGAAGCCCTTTAGTTTGATTAGATCCCATTTGTCAATTTTGGCTTCTGTTGTCATTGCTTTCAGTGTTTTTGTCATGAAGTCTTCGCCCATGCCTATGTCCTGAATAGTATTGCTTAGGTTTTCTTCTAGGGTTTCTATGGTTTTGGGTTTTACATTGAGGTCTGTAATCCATCTGGAGTTCATTTTTGTATAAGGTGTAACAAAGGGCTTCAGCTTCTGTTTTCTACATATGGCTAGCCAGTTTTCCCAGCACAATTATTAAATAGGAGATTGTTTCCCCATTGCTTATTTTTGTCAGGTTTGTCAAAGATCAGGTGGTTGTAGATGTGTGATGTTATTTCTTAGGTCTCTGTTCTGTTCCATTGGTCTATATATCTGTTTTGGTACCAGTATCATGCTCTTTTGGTTACTGTAGCCTTGTAGTACAGTTTGAAGTCAAGTAGTGTGATGCTTCCAGCTTTGTTCTTTTTGCTTAGGATTGTCTTGGCTATCTGGGCTCTTTTTGGTTCCATGTGAAATTTAAAGAAAGTTTTTCTAATTCTGTGAAGAATTCAGTGGTAGCTTGATGGGAATAGTACTGAATCTATAAATTACTTTGAGGAGTATGGCCATTTTCATGATATTGATTCTTCCTATCCGTGAGCATGAAGTGTTTTTCCATTTGTTGTGTCCTCTCTTATTTCCTTGATCAGTGGTTTGTAGTTCTCCTTGAAGAGGTCCATCATATCCCTTGTAAATTGTATTTCTAGGTATTTTATTCTCCTTATAGCAATTGTGAATGGGAGTTCACCCATAATTTGGCTCCCTGCTTTTCTATTTTTGGTGTATATGAATGCTTGTGATTTTTGCACATTGATTTTGTATCTTGAGATTTTGCTGAAGTTGCTTATCAGCTTAAGGAGTTTTGGGGCTGAGATGATGGGGTTTTCTAAATATACAATCATGTATCTTCAAAGTGGATCTCTTGAACCTCTGCTTGCATGGTCACATTTCCACTCTAACTCTGATCTTTCTACTTCTTTTTATAGATATTCTTGTGATGACTTTCAGCCTAGTCTGATAATCCAGGATAATTTTCCCATCTGAAGATCCTTGATTTAGTTACATCTGCAAAGTACATTTTGTCTTGTAAAATTAGGTATTCATAGGTTTGATGGATTTGGACATGGATATCTCGGGGGTCATTTTTCTGCTTACTATCAATCAAAAATGTTTCTATGCATTGTTATTAATTCAAACATCACCAAACACCTGTTATGGGTAACATAACCAAGTATGATCAATGATTTCCACTGATGTTTTAAAATGTAACTGTATCTGAATAAACTATATAGTTTACTTAATGTATTGTACTGATGTAAATTTTAAATTTTGACAAATGTTGCATGTTTATGTAAGAGTTTAACACTGGAGAAGTGGGGTTAATTTAGTATGGGAATTATCTAAACTCTCTCTACAAATTTTCTCTAATTGTATTATTATTCTAAAATAAAAGTTTTATATAAATAACCAGTGTTTTGATTGAATATAGAATGATTACTTTCCCACCAATACCTTATGTGTGTAATGAAACATCTTGAGTATATTTACTTGATATTAGGTATATCAATTAATTGCATTTCATTTTACATTGCATTTGATTAATGATTAACTGAAAATGTGCATTTTCCATTTCATTTGCAGTTTAGTGTTGGTAACAAATGTATTTTTCTACCATATTCTTAATATTCTGAAAGCTATATTCTTAAAATATGCACTATTTTATAGTTTTTAAAATTACTTTAATTGTATTAGGTGTAATTATAAATAAGATGACATTTTATATAACCTTTATCTTGGGAAAATGAGATTAGAACTAAGAGCTCAGAGAGTACACAAGTCAGTTTTTCCAAAAATTATTCTACTGACAAATAAATGTGACTTCTTGGTGACTGAAACATTTTATTGTATTAGTATTCCTGTCATACTTGTGAATCAGCTTGAAATATTAGTAGTCAGTCGGTGCTTGGTACTTAACTGAATATAATAAAATGCATTTTATTTGTTTTTTGTTCTTTGACCACCCAGTGGGCAAATACAAATGAAAGTAAAATATTATCATATTCTATCATGAATATGTAAAATTAGTAAGCTCAATGTAGTATTACTAAAAAGATAATAAAGCTGCATAACATTTTAGGTAAGCAAATCATATTTGATTCCAGTAATTTTTAAGGCTATTTTTTTCTGATTTTGGTAAAATTGTTCTCATAATTTAAAGTTTGATATATGCTTTTGACCCTTTTGTAATATTTTTGTTCCTCTTAAACCAAGTTTCAGGTATTGATTTTAAACAAAAATCTATTCAAGACACATGGAGAAAAGGAAACACTTATACACTGTTGGTAGGAAGGTAAATTACTTCAGTCACTGTGGAAATCAATTAGATTTCTCAAAGAACTTAAAACAGAACTACTATTTGCCCAGCAATCCCATTACTGGCTATATATCCAAAAGTAAACAAATCATTCTATCAAAAAGACACACACACTCATATGTTCATTGCAATACTATTCACAATAGCAAAGACATGTATCAATCTAGGTGTTCATCAATAGTGGACTGTAATAAAATGTAGTATGTATATACCATGGAATACTATGCAGACATAAAAAAGAACAAAATTATGTCCTCTGCAGCAACATGGATGCAGCTGGAGGCCATTATCCGAAGCGAATTAATGCAGGGACAGAAAACCAAATGCCACAGGTTCTTACTTATAAGTGGGAGCTAAACATGAAGTACTCATGGACATAACCATGGGAACAATAGACTCTGGGGACTACTAGAGGAATGAGGGAGGTTGGGGACCAGGTTTGCAAATCTACTGGGTACTATTCTCACTACCTTGTTGACGGGATCATTTGTACTCTAGCTCTCAGCATCACACTATATATACTCATGTAATAAACCTGCACACGAACCCTCTGAATCTAAAATAAAAGTTGAAATTATTAAAATAGAAATTCATTAAAAAATAAGATTTAAAATTAATTTCAATAAAGACAATAGATAAAAGTTTTAATGACTAAATTCAAGAAAATGAGTGAGGTTTTCCAAGATGAATATGGGTTAGTAGTTAAGAATATTTAAATGACATGATTATCAAATATATAATGTTAAATGTTAAACACATGGCACAGTAAGTTTAAATGATACAGTTTGCTCAATATTTTAAAACTAAACAACATCATTTCCAACTGAAAATACATAATATAAATATGTTTTCTGCACCTGTATTATATTCAGGTTCTTGCCAGTTCATAAATACATATATTTAAAACTGGCCAGAGCTAAAATTTTGAAATTTAGAAGAAACTTAAATAGAGAGAGATAAACTTAAAAAAAAAGTATGAACAAAATATGTTAGTTGAAAAATTAATACATCCAAAGCAAAAAAAAAATGTGTAATAAACAAAAGCGTTGGTGACATCTTCAAACCCCACCCTAATTAGACATGGTTCTTTAATATCAATGAAGGTAAGTATTTCCTTAACCTCAAGAAGTGCATTATTCATAGGTAGCAGGCAGGATGCTGTAGTGACAAAATGATAATGGAAAAAACAGATAATGGTTTATGTTACTTTTCCTTATATTGTCATTTGTTAATTACTTAATTACTTCATCAGCTATTTATTAACTCCTAATCATAGGAAGATATCTGAAAATTGCTGGACAGTCCTGGTTGTTAGGTGTATGAAGCTAATAAATTAGGAAACATTAAGTAAACAACAAAAATAGTTACCTTGTAATCAATTATAATTGTAAATAAGTGCTTTGGAGGGAAAATATCCAAGTTAGTAACATTGCTATGCAGAGATGTTATATGCATAGGTAACCTGTGATGGTATTTTCTCTCATGTACTGAATTTGTACAATAACATCTGGCAGAATGTATCAATTTAGAGAATTTAGAAACTTGTATCTTTATTCCATGTTTCCTACAATGTGGCCTTCTACTTTTATGAATCCTTTTATTTCTCTTTGTTTAACTTTTATATATAAAGTTCTTGGTGACCCTATGTTTAGTTATTTAAATAAATATCTTTTTTGCTCACAAAGTTAAACCTTGTTACTCTTTTAATAATCTAACAAGCTAAATTAGATCAGTGTTATGTGATGGTTTATTTAATATATTTCATTACTGATTAAATATGACTGAATACAAGTATGTAAAAGTCAAGTTAATGTTACTATGGGATGCACTTCAGTAAATCTAAAAATAAGTGCATTACAAATACATCATTATCCTTTCAACAAAAATTATTGCCAGAAATATTGTATTCTAAAGATGAAGATAAATTCAGCAATGATTAATGACATTAAACTATATTACAAAATAAAATCAGTAATCATTTTACTATTATTTTGATTTATTATGCAATATGCAAAAATATTGCCATTTTAAGATACAAGTGTAATAAAACTAGCTTACCAATGAAAAAAACCTATTTCCTATACTCCCAAGTCTATAGAAACAGATATTTAATTCTATCATTTGCGTTAACTCAGATAAAACTAAATGGGAGCTAATTTTTGAGTTCTTAGTTACTAATTTTAATCCTATTTTCCATTACACCACTTCTGGCTCACTCCTACTGCCACTATGTATCCAATAATGGTAATGTCACTGAAAGGTTGGAGCCACTTATCCATGTTGTTCTTTGAGGACCTTAAAATTGATATCAGCCCAAAAATCATTTTGGAAATGGCTTGTTTGAATAATTAATTCTGACAATAAGTAGCAATCTGGAGACCACCATAGTTCAGAAGTTAAGTCCAGAGGCATACTTTGAGACAAGAGAATTTCCAAGACAGCGGCAGGGACATAAACCCAGATAATCCAGTGTATGTTTTTAAATATCCACATGAATAAAAGAATAGTGTATGACTGTTCTATTTGTTCACATATAGGGTTATTATTGGAATACACTGATAAATTATATAATTATTTTATTAGTTGCATAGGTATTACATTTACCTTGATAACAAAACTTGTCTACCTATTAGATATGCAGTACCTTCACTTGTTTAAATCCAAACTCATGTAAGAGTAGAGACAGACAAATTCCTAGGCAAATAGGGAAGGGTCCCCAGTGAATCTTGACCTTCAAGTCAAGAAAATTGAGTTATCAATTCTGGATAGAAACCACAGTCTGGAGTGGGACCTTCGATCCCTGTTTTACCCACTCTCTCAATTGGTTCTTTCTGAACAACGTCTTTCAACCAATTGAATGGTGCCTTTTCCAAGCCCACCCATAAACCAGTCAGCACTCATTCTCCCATTCTAGGACCATAAAAACCCCAGGCTCCACTTCACAGACAGCTACCCACTTTTGGGTCCCCCCTTGCCGTTGAGAACTTTTATTTCACTCAATACATTCTACTCTGCCCTACCCCTCTCCAGTGTTCACACATCTTATTCCTCTTGGTTGCAGGACAAGAATCCGCAACTTGCCGAACTGCCGGAGTAAAAGAGCTGTAACACTCCAGCCCGCCAAACTAAGTGAGTAAAAATGCCACAACAGTAGCAGGTATTTACGTCAGTTGCAAATTTAGATGTGCAAGAAATATGTAACTCTTTAATTTTCTATACCTAAACATATTTATTTTTATCCTATTCCAACAAGAGGACAAAACACATTTTTTTTCTGAGGCATAATTTATGTTCTCTGTACACTTACAGCAATACATACATATTAAATAACGTGTGTGGCGTAGAAATTAGTGTCTGTTCCTCAATCAGTTATCAATTATCTTCTATTCAGTTTATCTAACTTCTTACCTTAAATATATTTACTAAATTTTACATTATAGAATTATATGAGAGATGTAAACATTTGGTTCAATCAAATTGTTTATCTGGCAAGGAATCCAATACTCATAGAAAAAAACCTCATTTGCCTAGAATACAATTTAGTTTTAAATAATACATTACTTTGGTTTATTTGCTCCAAAATAATGTTTGCTCCTTAAATGTTATACAAATTGCTTGAATTTAATGTTTTTCAAATAATATTAAAATGAGCTATGATGTGTTCATGTTGCTTTAATTTTATGAAAATAAAATACATAATTATTCGAAAGCCACTTTTGAAAAAATTACTTGGTATTTCATTAGCAATAACTGATCTTGTTTTTTAAGTACAGAAGATCTGACATTCAATACTTTAATAAATTATGCTTGGAAACATTTAATTGAGCTAAACTGATTCAAAATATTATTTTATGTTTTCCTCATATGAGTTTAGAATCACTACATGAAAATTGATTCTCTGATGGAGAAAGACATTGAAAGTAAAGGCTTGCCGTATTTTTTATTTTTATCAAGGTGAGAGCTCATTTCTAGGTATTGAAATTTACTTTTTCTAACTTTAGAAAAGTGTTTTATGTCAAGTTAAGTCTCTGAGGTGCTAATGCCAGACTAATAAAATAAGACTAAGATTAGGCTTGCATACCATCTTAAATAAACTGTAAGATATGCGATGACTATGAAAGTGCCTGGAATATTTAAAAGATATATTTAATATACATAACAGCCATTCAATGAAATCATTTGTCCTTTTATACGCTTCTTTTGAGAAGCAACAAAATAAAGGTGACCTAAGAATTCTATTCTAGTTTACTTTAAAAGGTTTGACTGATTGATAGTAACTGACAGCAGAAACCAAAAGGAAGTTCAAAAAGATTTCTCTATAAAAGTAAGTATGCACCAAGATTGATGTCTGTTATGAATGAAGCATTGACAGCTACATCAAGATTAGTATCTTCCATATTGCCTTTCTAACTTCTTGAGGAACCAAAATTGACTTTAAATATCAAGATAGCAGGGAAGCATGGCTAAGCGATTAACATTAACACAGAAACAAAAGGGAGATTTCTGTAGGATCTTTATTTTCATATCTCCTCTCTCTTCTCCTTCTCTCCTTCACCTCCCATCATATTTTATATTAAAACATAGAGAATGCCCTGCCATTTCTCTAACACTTTACATGGTTACAAAATTTGTTCCTTGTAATTGAGTTTACTCCCCTTGCTTGGATATACTTTTAGTAACAATTTCCTTAACTTTGTAAATTCTCTATTCTTGAACATTGTTTTCACTGAATTCCTTAGCATTGTTTTCATGATATACACACACACACGCATGCACATATACATGGTGTGTGCGTGTGTGCGTGTGTGTGTGTGTGTGTGTGTGTGTGTGTATATATGTATTCCAAGTTATTTTAAACAAATTCTAACTCTATGGTAATATTTTTATCTTGAGTACTTGAAGCTCAGAGCTACTCCATTCATGTCACACAGGGACATTTTTGGCTATTTACTTTTTCATAGAAATATAATACCTCACAGATTTGTGTATATACTGTCATCTCTATACAAGACTTTACTTACTTAAAGAATACAGACACCTTTTAACCCTTCAATTAATGCTATATATTAGAGAGTGTAACTTTTCTACAGAAAATTCAAAACACCACTGTTCATGCAGATAGTTTTTACCATGATGTTTTTCCTTATATGCTGCCTAATATAATGCTCCATTATAACAAACATTAGATGTAAAAGTATTTCATGTAAGAAGACTATTTTTGGCAATAGAATATATTATTTCTTTTCAATTATTTTTCTAGTATAAAACCATTTTTTTTTTTTTAGCTGGGCACAGTGTCTCATGCCTGTAATCCCAGAAATTTGGGAAACTGAGGTAGGTGGATTGTTTGAGCCAAGGAGTTTGAGACCAGCCTGGAAAACATGAAACCCTGTTGCTACAAAAAAAAAAAAGTGCTAAAAAAATTAGCCAGGTATGGTGTTATGTGCTTATATTCTCAGCTACTTGGGAGGTTGGGGTGGGAGGACTGCTTGAGCCCAAAAGAGCGAGGCTGCGTGAACCACGATCGTGCCACTGCAATCCAGCCTGGGTGACAGAGGGAGACCCTGTCTCAAAATAAAAATAAAAATAAGCAATTATTTGTAATGATTCTTACTCTTATTATGAGAGAGTCTTCTTGCATTTCCAGTAAATGAATGCATATTTCTTACTTAACTCACGTGTCTTTTAGATCAGGTAATTACCATCTCTGCTAGCTTGTAGCCATCTTTTTTGGCAGATTAATTGTTTCTCAGACTGTAGATAAACTATATATGTTAGCTTTTCCAAAGTTCATTTTCTTTTTCTATGTGGACCAAATTTTTTGTAAATTTGGTATTATCACCCCTTTTGCCTTTGTTGTTGTGAATAGCAAATGTATTCTGTATTTCAAAAATATCTTGTGCATTGCATTAAATACAAGACACTGACAGATATGGCCCTTGGCAAAGAAACGTGGGGAAGATTAAGATTTGGAAAATTTTTCACTCCAGCATAAATTCTGTCGTGTAAAAGTGTTGTGGTATCTAGGCAATATAAGATGTATGGTCTTGGAATTTTGATTTCTTAAACATAAACTTTCTTATTTTTCAGATAATTAGATAAGTAAACACTGCTATGACCTCCACCACTGATATTGTGAGAATAAATCAGCCTTATTTAATTTTGAAACAAAATGAAAAATGCAGCAAATTGGGCCTAAAATTATCTCCTGGCAAGGAGAATTAAAGCAATTAGAGAGAACAAGTTGTGAAACCATGTTAGGTTTTAGGGAGTAATAGGTAATTCCCTGTGCTTAATATAATATATGAAGAGTAGGGGAGGAGAGAAGAAAGAGGAAAGAGGGGGCTGTGTTTTTGTGCTGTTAACTTCTGAACCATTCATCCTACTATCCTGATACTCAAAGGTAGTATTGCCTCAAAAAGTTACAAAGGAATATGGAAGATACTAATCTTCCTGATGTAGCTGTCAAGAAAACAATTCCAAAAGCTTCATCACAGCTAGGTCCACTTCTGGTAGAGTTATATGTTGCTGTATACAAATTGCATTGGACATTTATGCAGTTTTCTTTTATGTTCACTTTGGCAACACTTCCTTGAAATTAAACCTACATTGAAATAAAAATTTTCTAAATAGGTCATTCTTCTTTAGTGTGACGTCAGAATGGAAGTAGGTGCCAAATAAGTACATTGAGATGGTAGCAAAACATCAAGTGGCATTTCTGAAACAAGTTTGTGGTGGTGACGGTCAGTTTTACTAGAACAAAAGAACTTAATTAAATTCCTCTCTTGGAGAGTTTCAATATAAATTTTAGATTATTAAAGCCTACAAAGTTAGCAAAGTTGGAAGTTAAAAATGATCTACACATTTACAATTTGCACAAATTCTCTAATTTACGCTGGATTTTTGTTATATATTAATATATATCTTCAAAATCTCAGAAATCAAACATAAAGGAGAAGAATATCTTTTGCCTTACTAACTTTCCTGGTAATCTCGCCATTTTTCCTCAACACATTATTGGGATATACTACTGTATAAATAAAGCCATTGAAGAAACATAAATTATGTTTGACTAATTGTTAGGGTTCAGAAACACAAAATACCTATGCATAGAAGAGGTGACTTTGGTAAAAATCTTAGTTTGAAGATACAAATAGTTAATTATGTTTACTGAACCATAATTGTCACTTAATACATTTTAAAAATTATTTAAAATTATGGATCAATAAGGTCATCAAATTAGGTCACCTATGGAAATATGCTTGAGTCCCCTTTAAGTGAGCAGACAGATTCTTGTGTGCAAGGTTGAAGAAATGTATTTTTTGTGTTACATTAAATTACTGATAAATGTTAGGAATAATGCTGAATATATAACATCTCTCTTTACTATTTTTAAGAAAAAATGTTACTGTTTAATACTGTCTCCCAGCTGTGACTAAAAGAGATATTCTTCCTTGGGATTAAGCATTATTAATGTCATGTGAAAAGTGGCTTCTGTCACTGAAAATATTATTGATATCCCACCGTCAATATAAATACATATTATATATATACAAAAAATAAGCGTTGAAACTACCACAGATTCAAAATAAGAATCCCCAAGTGCTTGCATTCCAAGTCTAGCTCTTCTGTTAATACTTGATATAAGCCATGTATGGACAACTATAAAATATATGAAATTTAAAAGCCAAGTGAGAATACAAAATAATATCCTTAAATGGAAGGCAACATACTTGTGGAATTTAGAAAACTCACTGCATTACAAAAAACAAGTTAAAGTATATGATTTTTGTACACTCATTAAAATAATAT
This sequence comes from Homo sapiens, assembly GCF_000001405.40. NCBI lineage: Eukaryota > Metazoa > Chordata > Mammalia > Primates > Hominidae > Homo > Homo sapiens. The sequence goes on from NC_000005.10 coordinate 26,144,603, forward strand.
CTCATGATAAACTGAACTCCATTAAAAGTTATATATTGACTTATAAGAAGAGCTTTATTTTTTACCAAGATGGAAAATAATTACTTCTTGAATATTCATATATGCAATGCATCTTTACCACATTTTAATAAAACCAATTAATTTGAATTTTATGATAACTCTGTTAACTAAGTAGCTCCACTTTGAAGACGAGGAAACTAAAGCACAAGAAAGTTAAGTTAGTATGAAGTTATTTAATCTCTTATTGGCAATTTCAGGATTCAAATCAGAAAGTCTAGTTCCAGAGTCTAATTTCTGCCCACTATGTGTATTAATTCTCATTGTTTTATATTGAACTCATGAAAATAAATATGATTTAAATACCCTAAAATAAGAAGTAACCACATCTCTTTTAAGCCTCAGAAATATGTAAGTAACATGATAGAAATATAGAAAAATAAGGAAGCTCATAGAAGACTAAATTTAAATCAATTGGCCAACAAATTAAGCAACACACCTAAAAAAACTTAAGAAAAATTTAAACTTAATATTTAATTTTCAACAAAATTATAGAGTGAAGTTCACTAAATCTATTTACGTTTTAAATTTTCTAGGTATTATTGAATACTTTCATGTTTTTCGAGCAGTATTACTTTCATTAGAAAGAAAAGTAGGCCAGGCGCGGTGGCTCACGCCTGTAATCCCAGCACTTTGGGAGGCCGAGGCAGGTGGATCACGAAGTCAGGAGATCGAGACCATCCTGGCTAACACGGTGAAACCCCATCTCTACTAAAAATACAAAAAATTAGCCGGGTGTGGTGGCAGGCGCCTGTAGTCCCAGCTACTCGGGAGGCTGAGGCAGGCGAATGGCCTGAACCCGGGAGGTGGAGCTTGCAGTGAGCCCAGATTGCGCCACTGCACTTCAACCTGGACGACAGAGCGAGATTCCATTTAAAAAAAAAAAAGAAAGAAAAAAAAAGAAAGAAAAGTAGTAATCTTGGTATAAGACTGACCAAGATGGTGTTTAAGGCTCTTCTCTGAAAGGCAATTTACTCTAGCTGAAAAGTCAGGTAAAGAGTTCATCAGTCATGTTCGCATCTGCACTTGTGCTTAAGTAATTAAAAATCTCAACATCAAATAGTTTGAAATTTGAAAGTTGTTTTAAATGAGGAAGCTGAGGGAAGTTTTATAGTTTTCGCTAATGTTTTATTTTTGATAATGTGGACATAATTACACAACCCTTTTCTTCATTGTTTTTGCTGCTTTATGATCCAGGTGTCTGAATTGATATCTATAATTTGGATATTTACATGACTTAAATGACTGCTTTTATAAAATGAGAATCAATATGCTACATGAAGCATTGAACAGTTTTAAAGATATACAGATAATCTGTGGCTCCTATTTCAAAAGAAGCTTAGGCATAAGGAGAAATTGACATTTCAGTTGAATCTGGAAAAGTGAGAAAATAAAGAACTGTATATGAAATATCAATTTTTTTTAAGACATTAAGGGTTGGCTACAGATGACAAATATGTTAGGTGGCCGAAACATAGTATATGTAAGGGAAGATAGATGATAGACAACATAGAATAAGACTAAGGTAGATTTACATCCATTTTTGTGCCATGCTAAGATAGATGATAGGCCCCATAAAATAAGACTAAGGCAGATTTACGTCAGGTTTTGTCCCATGCTAAATGGTGAGACTATCTAAAACTCTAGACTTTTCTTGATTTTAATTCTATTTGTAAAATAAAAATGATTAAATAGATTGGATAGGACACCTCAATAGTGAGCTTTAGAATAAAAAAAGTAGAAACACAAATAATAATTACAAAGAATTGCTTATTCCTCGTCGACAATCAGCAATTTATCTTTAACAATCAACAATGAATGTAAATATGATTCTTTATTTTTTATTTTTTCTTATTTTTCATTTATTTTTTTATTTTTTGAGACAGACTCTCACTCTGTTGCCCAGGCTGGAGTGCAGTGGCATGATCTCGGCTCACTGCAATTTCAGCCTCCCAGGTTCAAGTGATTCTTCTGCCTCAGCCTCCTGAGTAGCTGGGACTACAGGTGCGTGCCACCATGCCTGGCTAATTTTTGTATTTTTAGTAGAGATGGGGTTTCACCATATTGTCAGGCTGGTCTTGAACTCCTGACCTCGTGATCTGCCTGTCTCAGCCTCCCAAAGTGCTGGGATTACAGGCGTGAGCCACCGCACCTGACCTGTAAATATGATTCTTAAATATCTCTCCCTAACTTGTGATCCCTGGATTTTTCCTGGATTACTATTTCTGTTTTGACTTTTGGTTCTGTTTTCAGTTTCAGAGTGTTACAATTTTCAGATATTCCTAGTAATAATCTAATTTTTAAATACATTTTACTTTTTAAAATGAGAATTCAAATAATGTGAAAACTGGATGACAAAAAATTTGAGCATGCTACAAAGGATCTTAGAATTACCAGTCAAATCTATGCATATCAATAGCTGTTATTATCAGGTAGAAAATTAAAAAAAAAAAATGGTGTGTCTTATATGCCAGTAGGTCATTTTTACCTCTTTACCCCTGCAAAAAATTCATGGCTAAAGTAATTATGTTTTCTAGACTCTTCAACAAATTTCAATTGTTTCTTTCATTAAAACATACCTCTGAGATATTTTCCTTTAATCATTCATTGTATCAACACAAAAACATGTCTTTGATATTTTCCTAGCATAGTCTTAGCACATTTCAGGAAGAAAAATCAATGTTAATTTATCTGCTAACCCCCATGCGATATTTGCATTGAATTAAAGATATTTTAAAATACTGACACTCGACAAAAAGAGCATGAGATCACTTTGAACTAAATCCCAATATACAGTAGTCTGCCAAACTTGTCTTCAAATGTAATTAATCTTGAAAATAATCAGCTACGGAAAGCCACAGGCACCTATATTTCTGATATTACAGTCAGATAGCCATGAAATAAATCATAGTGACAATTTGGAATATGCATTGTTGATATAGGTTGGCCTTTTTTCTATAAGATAGAATATTGCTGTCCTCTCCAGGAATAGATGCCAGAAAACTAAAATCAAATTTTAACTGCCGTAAGCTTGCTCAAATGCTCAATTGTCATTCATTAATTTATTGTTGCCCTACTATGTGTGGCAGGAAGCAGCTGAAATCTAGTGCTCATTCTATTAGCCACATAAGGCTACACCTGTTAGGATGGCTATTATCTAAAATTCAAAAGCTAATAAGTATTAGCAAGGACATGCAGAAAAGGGAGCCCTTGTGCACTGTTAGTGGGACTATAAATTAGCACGGCCATGATGGAAAAAAAGTACAGAGCTTCTTCAAACAATTAAAAGTAGGAATCCATCATTGCACTTTGCGGTATATATACACAGACACACAAGTTTTATATATATAATAGATATCATAGATATCGTGTGTGTGTGTATATATATATATAAAGGGAGACAAATTGGTATCTCATAGATATCTGCACTCCCACGTTCATTTCAGCGTTATTCACAAAAGCCAACATGTGGGCAACTCAAGTGTCTGCCAGTGGCTAAATCAATAAAGAATATGTAATATATTAATGTGATATATGAATATCACATATATTTTGTATATATGAATATGATATATTTATGGCATTTTGTATATATTGCATACATATATGTATGTATAATGAAATATTGTTCAGCCATAAAAATGTAAAAAATTGGGGGGTAGGCAAGATGGCTGCCTTCAGAGGTTTCCATTGAAAAAAAACATAATAAGCATGTGAATCCTCACTGGCAAAATTGACTAGAAGGCTGGCATGACCCACAGAGAGAAGGAAGGGCATGTGGTGCTGCGACCCACCTGAGAGCCACATGGGGAAGGGAAACCCCCTCCCTGCAGCCGAGGGAGGCAATGAGTGAGTGCTCTACCCACCCGTGGAAACTGTGCTTTTTCCACAGAACTGTGCAACCCACGGATCAGAAGATACCACTCATGAACTCATGCTACCAGTGCCTAGTGCCCCAACCAGGAATCATGCAGATTCTTACAGCTTCTCAGCTGGAATCTGCTTAAGCCTACTGAACTCCCAGCAGTGGGGAGGGGGTGGGGCAACCAGCACTGCCTGCAGCTGCCTGCTCTCTAAGCCATTTGAACTCTTTGAGGAAGGGGCAGCAGCCAGCAGTGGGACTGGCAACTGCCTAACACGCTAAGCTCCCTGGGTGGGGGAGGGGGCGACACCCATTTCTATAGCTCAGGCTGTGCTTTTCCCCTGCTGGAGCCAGGGATGCTGGACGGCTTGGTCTTAAGACATGTCCCCACAGCCTAACATGCCAGCTGTGGCAGTCAGCGGCCAGAATGCCTCTTCAGGTCTAACCCTGACCCATCCTTCCTCAGTGGGTGGGGCATCCCTGCAGGATCTCCGGTAACTCCAGCCAGAAGCTCAGGGACAGAATTCGGATCTCCCTGGGCCTGAGCCCTTAGGAGTAGGGGTGGCCACAGTCGCTGTGGACCAGCAGACTTAGCCTTTCCTCCTGGTAGTTCTGAGGAATCCAGGCAGCCCAGAGAAGTGGGTTTCCCCCCAGCAAAACACACCGCCTCCACCAAGGGACAAAGTGCTTCTTTAAATGGGCCCTGCTCCCTATGACACCCAACTGGGTGATATCTTCCAACAGAGTTTTCAGACACTCTATACAAAAGTGATCCTACTAGGTTGGTGCCTGTCAAGGTCAGAAGTCCCAGAAGAAGGAGGAGGCACTCATCTTTGCTGCTCTCCAGCTTCCTTGAGTGACATCTCCAAGCATGGGAATGAATCAGATGAATAAGGCCTGAAGCGTACCACCAGCAAACTGCAGCAGCCCTACAGAACAGGGACCTGCCTATTGAAAGGAAAACAAGCAGAAAGCAACAACAGCATCATCATCAACCACAACAACAACAACAAAAATGTCCCCACAAAAAACCCATCCAAAGGTCAGCAGCCTCAAAGACAGAAACTAGACAAACTCAGGTAGATGAGAAAGAATCAGTGAAAAAAACTGCTGAAAATACAAAAGGCCCAGAATCGGATAGAGGACAGATGGACAAATTGATGGAAGTAGGCTTCAGAAGGTGGGTAATAAAAAACTAGGATGAGTTAAAAAAGCATGTTCTAACCCAATACAAAGAAGCTACGAACCTTGGTAAAAAGTTAGAGGAATTGCTAACTAAAATAACCAGTTTAGAGAGGAACATAAACGACCTGATGAAACCGAAAAACACAGCACAAGAAGTTTGTGAAGCATACACAAGTATCAACAGCTGAATCAACCAAGCAGAAGAAAGGATATCAGAGTTTGAAGACCACCTTACTGAAATAAGACACAAAGACAAGAATAGGGAAAAAACAATGAAAATGAATGAACAAAGCTTCCAAGAAATATGGGACTTCATAAAAAGACTGAACCTATGATTGACTGGAGTACCAGAAGGAGACAGGGAGAATGGAATCAAGCTGGAAAACACACTTCAGGATATTATCTAGGAGAACTTCCCCAACCTAGCAACAAGACAGGCCAACATGCAAATTCAGGAAACAGAACACCATTAAGATACTCTATGAGAAGATCAACCCCAAGACACACAATCATCAGATTCTCCAAGGTTGAAATGAGGGAAAAACCATTAAGGATGGCCAGAGAGAAAGGCCAGGCTACCTACAAAGGGAAGCCCATCAGACTAACAGCACAACTCTCAGAAGAAACTACAAGCCAGAAGAGATTGGGAACCAATAATCGACATTCTTAAAGAAAAGAATTTTCAGCCCAGAATTTCACATCCAGCCAAATTAAGCTTCAGAAGCAAAGGAGAAATAAAATTATTTCCAGACAAGCAAATGTTGAAGGATTTCATTACCACCAGGCCTGCCCTGTAAGAGCTCCTGAAGGAAGCACTAAACATGGAAAGGAAAAACCAGTACCAGCCACTGCAAAAACACATCAAAATATAAAGACCGATGACACTACAAAGAAACTGTGTCAGCTAGTGTGCAAAATAACCAGATAACATTATGATAATAGGATCAAATTCACACATAACAATACTAACCTTAAATGTAAATGGGCTACATGCCCCAATTAAAAGACACAGACTGAGCAACTGGATAAGGAGTCAAGACCCATTGGTGTGCTGTATTCAGGGTACCCACCTTAAGTGCAAAGACACATAGAGACTCAAAATAAAGGGATGGAAGAAAATTTACCAAGCAAATGGAAAGCAAAAAAAAATAAAAAATAAAAAAAAGCAGGGATTGCAATCTTCTGATTTTAAAGAAACAAAGATCAAAAAAGACAAAGAAGAGCATTCCATAAGGATAAAGGGAACAATTCAGCAAGAAGAGCTAACTATTCTGAGTATATATGCACCCAATACAGGAGCACTTGGATTCATAAAACAAGTTCTTAGAGACATACAAAGAGACTTAGACTCCCACATAATAATAGTAGGAGACTTTAACAAGGTACTGTCACTATTAGACAGATTAACGAGACAGAAAATTAACAAAGATATTCAGGATTTGAACTCAGCTCTGGATCAAGTGGACCTAGTAGATGTCTACGGAACTCTCTACCCAAATCAACAGAATATGCATTCTTCTCAGTGCCACATGGCCCTTATTCTAAAATCGACCACATAATTGGAAATAACACACTCCTCAGCAAATGCAAAAGAACTGTAATCATAACAAACAGTCTCTGAGACCACAGTGCAATCAAATTAGAACTCAGGATTAGGAAATTCACTCAAAACCACACAATTTCATGGAAATTGAACAACCTGAACCTGAATGACTCTTGGGTAAATAATGAAATTAGGGCAGAGATTGATAAGTTCTTTGAAACCAATGAGAACAAAGAGATTATGTGCCAGAATCTCTGGGACACAGCTAAACAAATGTCAAGAGGGAAATTTGTAGCACTAAATGCCCAAACCAGATAGCTAGAGAGATCTTAAATCAATAACCTAATATCACAATTAAAAGAGCTACCGAGGCAAGAACAAACTAATTCAAAAGCTAGAAGAAGACAAGAAGCAACTAAGATCAGGGGAGAATTCAAAGAGATAGAAACACAGAAAACCCTCCAAAAAATCAATGAATCCAGGAAGTGTTATTTTGAAATAACAAAATAGACTGCCAGTTAGACAAATAAAGATGAGAGAGAAGAATAAATTGAGACAATAAAAAATGATAAAGGGGATATCACTACTGACCCCACAGAAATACAAACTACCATCCAAGAATACTATAAACACCTCTATGCAAATAAAGTAGAAAATCTAAGAAATAGATAAATTCCTGGAAGCATACATCCTACCAAGACTAAATGAGGAAGAAGTTAGCTCTTTGAATAGACTGATAACAAGCCTTATAATTGAGGCAGTAGTTAATAGCCTACCAACCAAAATAAGTCCAGGACCAGATGGATTCATAGCTGAATTCTACCAGAAATACAAAGAGGAGCTGGTACCATGTCTTCTGAAACTATTCCAAACAATTGAAAAGGAGGGATTCCTCCCTAACTCATTTTATGAAGCCAGAATCATCTTGATACCAAAACCGAAAGGAGACACAACAAAAAAAGAAAACTTCAGGCCAATATCCCTGAAGAACATCAATGCGAAAATCCTCAATAAAATACTGGCAAACCGAATCCAGCAGCACAACAAAAAACTTATCCACCACGATCAAGTGGGCTTCATCCCTGGGATGCAAGGCTGGTTCAACATATGCAAATCAATAAATGTAATCAATCACATAAACAGAACCAAAGACAAAAACCACATGATTATCTCAATAGATGCAGAAAAGACCTTTGATAACATTCAGCATCCCTTCATGTTAAAAGCTCTCAATAAACTAGGTATAGATGGAACATATCTCAAAATAATAAGAACTGTTTGTGACAAACCCACAGCCAATATCATATTGAATGGGCAAAAAGCTGGAAGCATACCCTTTGAAAACCAGTACAAGACAAGGGGGCCCTCTCTCACCGCTCCTATTCAATATAATATTGGAAGTTGTGGCCAGGGCAATTGGGCAAGAGAAAGAAATAAAGCATGTTCAAACAGGAAGAGAGGAAGTCAAGGTGTCTCTTTTTGCGATGACATGATTTTATATTAACAAAACCCCATCATCTCAGCCCAAAAACTTCTTGAACTGGTAAGTTATTTCAGCAAAGTCTCAGGATACAAAATCAAAGTGCAAAAATCACAAGCATTTCTTTACACCAACAATAGGCGAGCAGAGAGCGAAATCATGAATGAAATCCCATTCACAATCACTACAAAGAGAATAAAATACCAAGGAATGTAGCTAATAAGGAATGTGAAGGAGCTCTTCAAAGAAAACTACAAACCATTGCTCAAGGAAGTAAGAGAGGACACAAATGGAAAAGCATTCCATCCTCACAGATAGGAAGAATCAATATCATGAAAATGGCCATACTGCCTAAAGTAATTTACAGATTCAATGCTATTCCCATTAAACTACCATTGACATGTTTCACAGAATGAGAAAAAAATGTTTTAAATTTCACATTGAATCAAAGAAGACCCTGTACAGCCAAGACAATCCTAAGCAAAAAGAACAAAGCTGGAGGCATCATGTTACCTCACTTCAAACTATACTACAAGGCTACACTAACCAAAATAGCATGATACTGGTACCAAAACAGAAATGTAGACCAACGGAGCAGAACAGAGACCTCAGAAATAACATCTCACATCTACAACCATCTGATCTTCAACAAACCTGGCAAAAACAAGCAATGGGGAAAGGATCTTCTATTCAGTAAATGGTGCTGGGAAAATTGGCTAGCCATATATAGAAAACTGATCCTGGACCCGTTTCTTATGCCATATACAAAAATTAATTCAAGATGGATTAAAGACTTAAATGTAAAACCCAAAAATATAAAAAGCTTAGAAGAAAACCTAGGCAATACCATTCAGGAAATAGGCATGGGCAAAAACTTCATGACAAAAATGCCAAACGCAACTGCAACTAAAGCGAAAATTGACAAATAAGATCTAATTCAATTAAAGAGGTTCTGCACTCAAAAGAAACTATCATCAGAGTGAACAGGCAACATACAGAATGGGAGAAAATTTTTGCAATCTACCCATCTGACAAAGGCCTAATATCCAGAATTTACAAAGAACTTAAACATATTTACAGGAAAAAGACAACACCATCAAAAAGTGAGCAATGGATATGAACAGACACTTCTCAAAAAAGAAAGACATTTACGTGGCTAACAAGCCCATGAAAAAAAACTCAACATCACTGACCATCAGAGAAATGCAAATCAAAACCACAGTGAGATATCATCTCACACCAGTCAGAATGGTGATTATTAAAAGGTCAGGAATCAATAGGTGCTGGTGAGGCTGGGGAGAAATAGGAATTCTTTTACACTGTTGGTGGGAATGTGAATTAGTTCAACCTTTCTGGAAGACAGTGTGGTGATTCCTCAGAGATCTAGAACCAGAAACATCATTTGACCCAGCAATCCCTATACTGGGTATATACCCAAAGGAATATAAATTATTCTGCTACAAAGACACATACACACGTATGTTTATTACAGCACTATTTACAATAGCAAAGACATGGAACCAACACAGATTCCCATCAATGATAGGATAAATGACTGGATAAAGAAATGTGGCACATATACACCATGGAATAATATGCATCCATAAAAAGGAATGAAATCATATCCTTTGTAGGGACATGGATGAATCTGGAGGCCATCATTCACAGAAAACTAACACAGGAAGAGAAAATCAAACACTGCATGTTCTCACTCGTAAGTGATAGTTGAACACTGAGAACCCATGGACACAGAGAGGGGAACAACACACACCAGGGCTTGTTGGGGGTAGGGAGTGAGGGGAGAGAACTTAGAGGATATGGGGGATGGCACAGGTGTCCCTATGTAACAAACCTGCACGTTCTGCACATGTGCCCTGATGTTTTTTAGAAGAAATAAAGGGAAAAAAATTAAAAATTCTGCCATATGCAACAACATTGATGAAGCTAGAAGACATTGTGTTAAGTCAAGTAAGCCAGACATAGAAAGACAAATACTGCATAATTTCACTTATATGTGGAATGTTAAAAAGCTGATTTTATAGAAACAGAATAGAAGGGTGATTACAAGGGGTCGGGGGTGGGATAAAATGGGGAGATGTTAGCCAGAGTAGAAACTTTAGTTATAAGATGAACAAGTGTTGGAGGCCTCATACACAGCATGATGACTACAGTTAATAAAATGTACTATGCTTGGCATTGGCTAAAGGAGTAGATCTTAAATATTCTCATCACATACACACAAAAAAGGTAATAATGTAATGTGTGGACATATTAATTAGCTTGATTATGGTAATTATTTCACAATCACATAGTGTACCTTAAATATATACAATTTTTTTGGTGAATTACACTTTAGTAAACTGGAAACGGTATAATCTAAAAGATATTCCTTTTTAGTTTTTCCACAAAAAAATGCCCTTGTTATTTCAAAAATTATGCATAAATGTTAAGCCTATCAAAAATGGTTTTAACATAGCATTATTTCCTTTTAAAATTAAATTTATTACTCATAAATGAGTGTATTAAATATGAATTGTTGCACTTTGGGTAAGTAAGTTTAATTAAATGTTGTTATTTTTAAAGTGACAAATATATCTTACACAAGACAGTTTTCCTTTAAATGTGTATATTTTTGTATCTTAGCATGTCCTAGTGTGTTTATTTGTATATATGTATACATATGTTTAAATATATATGCAGATATATGCATACATACATAGACATTAGCATGAGTACATATACATTCAAATCTATTTTAAATTCAGACTTTGAGCCTGTCATTGTGTTTGAACTTATGTCATTGCTGAATTTGTTCTAAAGCGGTGAACCTATTGATACTTTAAAAATTAATTAATAATCTAAGTGAGTTCATTATCATTTAAGATTTATTTTAGCTACACATTTTAATATTCTGTTTTTGTTGCAGAGCTATTTAGACACAGCCATTCATGGATAATAAGTCATTTATTCCTCATTAACTGTTAGGATGGATGTGGATATTCATTACAGCCAGACAACAGACTCATTTAACTGAGTACAGTACACGATTATATACCACCCCAATGACTAGAATGCAAATTCCATCTCACATTAGTTTTCTTTTACTTAAGTATTTGCCATTCACTCATATATATTTCCTTTGCTACTTCACTGACAGATCACTGAGTTTTTATTTTAAATAGAAAAAAAAGAAGGAATAAAAACACAAATGTTGACAGTGAAAAGTATATAATTTAGAAGGATGATTCTATCTGCTGTGACTCACATGGACTCTTAAAATTTGTGTATGATACCATGCTTCTCTTGTTGCAAATTTACGCCCTAGTCAGCTTAACCTTAAACCAGATGAGTTTCAGCCTTAAAAATGCAGAAGTCCTTAACAAATCATCATTGAAGTGGTCACAGCTAGGAACTTTAGTGAGCCTTCAATAAAATGCAAGAATTTGCTGCCTCTCTTTCACAAGAGATAGAGTATCAGTTTAAATTGCATGAAGGGATATTAAAAAGTGCATTTATAATTTATTTTATAAAATTAGCATTTATAAATTAGCATGTGTGCAGAAAACAAACATTTCTCATGTTACTTTATTTTACTATATAGCTAGCAGTTTTCATCCCCAAATTTATAAGTGGCAAATTATTTTGTTAACAGAATATGCTGAAAATATGGGTAACTTGATGTCATTTGATGAAGGCTCGTTCTTAATTTTAACTCAGTGCAATCTATCATGTGCACTTATGGTTTTTACAAACACGATAAAGTGTTTTTTAGGTCTTATCATTTTGCTATTTCCCTCAATCCAGTTTCACATTATATCAATGTTAGCATGAGTATGTTCCATTGTCGCTATATGTATATCTAGTACTTACTATTGCACATCCAACTGGCTCTTACATTCCAAGATTCTTACAACTGCCTTTCTGTCACTACAGACAATCTTGCAATGGGCACCCTTGTATGTGTCTACTTACAGGAATGTACAAGGATTTTTGTTTTACTTTTTTGGAGAGAGACATACCCATGAGAAGTAGAAATGTCATCTTGTTGATGTGTATACTTAATTTGTCTAAATACTGCCAGGTAACATTCTTGAATGGCCACACTATATGCGCTTTCACCAATTGGATGGTTCCTACTTCCCAAGAGACCATCAATGCTCCCTACCATCCATTTATATTTGCCAATCTAAATGTTTAAAACGACAACTTATCATAATTTCAATTTTCAGTTCTACAATTGGTAAGAAATACACACATCTACTCACAACCCAATTAGCATTTTGGGTTTTATTTTCTATAATTTCCCTGTTTATGTAGCTTATCTTTTGTTCAATTTAGTGTTCTGTCTTCTTATTTTTTTTAAATAAACATTGTATTTAGGATAGTTTTACATTTACAGAAAATTTGTGAAGGTAGAACAGAGTCTCCATATACCTCCACACCTTGTTTCTCCTATTGTTAACATCGTAGTTTTGTATGGTGCATTTTTATGGTGCGTTTAATGAATAGATGTTGACACTTTATTAATAGTTAAAGTCCATATTTATTCAAATTTCCTTAATTTTCACCCAATATCGTGTTTTTTTTTTTTTTTTTTTTTTGTTTAAGGACCTCATGCAAGATTGTTTATCACAGTATTAGCCATGTTTTGCTAGATTTCTCCTGGCTGTGACACTGTCGTTTATATTCTAAACAGTTTTGAATCCTGGTCAGAAACTTTGTCACATTCACCCTTGATATAATGTGACAATAGAACTTTATCTATTGTTATTGTTGATAAGCCATCAATATGACTTATCACTGTTTCTATTGAGCTTCATTACTTAGTAGAACTAGAGTTTGGTAGGTTTTTCCACTGTTAGTTTGTTTTGCCCTTTTCCCTATTGTGCACTTTGGAAGGAAGTCATTATATGCAGCCCACAATTAGGGAATGGGAGGTTATGCTGCACTTCGTTGAGTCTAGAGCATGTATATAATTTTTTTTTTAATTCTTCTGCAAAAATACACACTGATTTCCACATTGTTTGATTTCTACAACCGTTTACTTATATAAGTATGGACTTAAAAATATTTATTTTTTACTTTGTAAAGATACAGACCTATACACTACACTATTACATTTTGGCTCCAATTGTTCTGATTGGAGGCATTGGAAGCTTTTTCAGTTGGCTCCTCTGTCTTTTTAACATGCCCCATCATTTTGTTTATTTTTTTTCTCAATTTCTGGCCCCGCAAAATATTTCAAGTTCATTTTTTTTTCTTGCACCATCCTTGAGTCAGCTGTTTCATGCAAAAGACCTGGTTCCTTTTATTGAAGAAAAGTATTAGAAACAAGATCTAGGTGTTATTATGTGTTCACATTAATATTCTTTGTCATTGCTTCTAGGCACTTTCAGCTGACAGAACTAGGAAATACATTTGTGTATCACAATAGATGTATATGCACATATATAAATATTGCTATGTGTTTCCATCTGTATCTACATTCAGTTAAACATGAATTTATTCTGATACCTCTAACTCTAATCCATCACCACATGGATCCTTCTAGCTTCCTTGTTTATCTGTAACTTGTCATTCCAGTACTGAGGAACCTGTCTCCCGCCATCCACCATCCATTTACTTGTTCCTTCAATACCTGTATAGATATTTCAAAACTGATAAATCCTCCTTCTATGGGAAACAATATCAACTAGAGTGTGGCGAACAATACAGCTTCCTTTGCCTTTAGTTTTACAGAGTCCACAGTCCACTCACTTTTAAAATAGCATAGACCAGGCACGCTAGCTCACTCCTGTAATGCAAGCACTTTGGGAGGCCGAGGCTGGTGGACCACGAGGTCAAGAGATCGAGACCATCCTGGCCAACATGGTAAAACTCTGTCTCTACTAAAAATACAAAAATTAGCTGGGCGTGGTGGTACATGCCTGTAGTGCCAGCTGCTCAGGAGGCTGAAGCAGGAGAATCGCTTGAACCTGGGAGGCGGAGGTTGCAGTGAGCTGAGGTCACGCCACTGCACTCCAGCCTGGTGACGAAGTGAGACCCAGTCTTAAATAAATAAATAAATAAAATAACATTTTATTTTCCTTGCAATCCTCACTCCTCAAATAAGATTTTGTACTTTTGTAATAAGTTACATGTTTTTCACATTTCACCTTTACTCCTGGATCTCCTAATTTTCTAAATAAATTTTATTATAATTGATTATGGTTTCTTCTTTATACTGTAAAATTCTATGGGTTTTCACACATTCATAATTTCATTTACAAAAATGAAAAAATACAGTATCATAATAAATTCACCACCCTCAAAAATCTCCTTGTTTTATTAATTCAATCTCCTCTCTCTACCTTCTCCATTTATACCACTAGCAAGTATTACCTTTTAGGTTTTGTGTTTTCCAGAATGATATATAGCTGGAATCATACATATTCTTTTCAGACTGGCTTCCTTCACTTATCAATTGTTTTAACATTCATTCATGTTGCTTCAGAAATTGATAGCTCAATTTTTTTTGTCAGTGAATAATATTCAACTGTATGAATAGAACCATTTGTTCTTTGACCTATTGAAAGGCCTTTTGGTTGCTTCCAATTTGCAGGGGGTGGGTGGGAAAGGGGCTGGATAAAGTTGCTATAAACATTTTCATGCAGGTTTTTGTGTGAGCATAACTTTTCAAATCATTTATGTGACTATCTAGAAGTGTAATTATATGCAATTGTATGGTAAGACTGTTTACCTTTGTAAGAAATTGCCCAACTGTTTTCCAAAGTTACTGTACTACTTTGCATTCCCACCAGAATGAAGGAGAGGTTTGGTTGCTCTGTATCCTCACCATCAATATGTATTGCCAGGCTTGGGATCTTAAAGCTATTCTCATAGGAGTGTAAAGGCATATCATTATTGTTTTAATTTGCAATTCCCTAATTACAAACGCTGATGAACATCTTTTCATTTGTATATTTGTCATCTGTATACCTTCTTTGGCAACTTATATGTTCAAATCATAAATGGGCATATATTTTGCTCACATATTAATTGTGCTATTTGTCTCATTGTTTAATTTTAAGGCTTTGTTTTATATTTTTATACAATTCTTCATCAAATATTATTTCCAATATTTGCTCTGAGTCTATGGTTTGTCTTTTCATTCTCTTAAGAGTGTCTTTTGCTCAGCAAAAGTTTTTAAACTTTAATAAAATCTAACATTTCAATTTTTTTGCTTAATGAATTGTGCTTTTGGTGTTTTATCTGAAAACTCATCACCAAACCTGAGGTAACAAATCATATCCCATATTTTATTCTGGATGTTTTATAGTTTTGCATTTCACATTTAGTTCTGTAATCTTTTTGGCTTAACTTCTTAGAAAATTATAATTTTTTTTGCCTAAGTTCAATTTTACATATGGATGTTCAATTATTCCAGCACCAGTTTTTGAGTACTATATTTTCTCTATTGAATTGCCTTTGCTCCTATGTCAGCGACTATATTTTTGTTGACAATTTTGTTGTGAACCGGTTTTTTGGTTCTGTCTTCTGTTACATTCATCTCTGTATCTGTTTCTTTGCTAATACCATACTGTTTTTATTACCATAGCTTTGTAGTAAGTTATGAAACCTGGTAGTGTGAACTCTTGAACTTTGTCTGTTTTCTTCAATATTTTGTTGCTTCTTCTAGGCCTTATGTCTGTCTATATAAATTTTAGAATCAGTTTGTTTTGAATGTCTACAAAATAATTTCCTGGGATAGGGATTATATTGAATTCATAGATTTATTTGGGATTATACTGAATTCATAGGTAAAATTTGAAAGAATTGACATTTTTAATAATATCAGTTCTTCTAAACCATGTTCATGGACTATGTCCCATTTATTTAGATTTTCTGTTATTTCCCTCACCAGAGTTTTGTAGTTTTCCACATTTTGTTAGATTTATATCTATGGATGTATTTATTAATTCTATAATTATGTATTTAAAATTCTAATCTTAGTAACATTGAAAAGCAATGTTAGGCTGAGGGTGGTGGCTCACGCCTGTAATCCCAGCACTTTGGGAGGCTGAGGCGGGTGGATCACCTGAGCTCAGGAGTTCAAGAGCACCCTGGGCAACATGGTGAAACCCCGTCTCTACTAAAATACAAAAAAATTAGCTGGGTGTGGTGGCCCAGGCTTGTAGTCCCAGCTGCTTGGGAGGCTGAAGCATGAGAATTGCTTGATCCCCAAAGGCAGAGGTTGCAGTGATACAAGATTGCACCACTGCACTCCAGCTTGGGCTAGAGTGAGACTCCATCTCAAAAAAAAAAAAAAAAGAACGAAAAAAGAAAAGCAATGTTAGAAAAGCAATTAATGTAATAAATAATATATATTGATTTTCAAATGTTGAAGCTGCCTTGCATACCTGAAATAAATTACACATGGTCTTGGTGAATAATCCTGTTTATGCTTTTTTAGATAAAGTTGATAATATTTTGTTAAAAATATTTGCAAGCCTGTTCATGAAAATATTAATGTGTAAAATGTGTAGATTTTATTTTTTATAATATATTTATCTGTTTTGGTATTATAGCAGAACGAGCCACAGACAAAACCCCTCAGACACCGGGTTAAAGAAGGAAGAGGTTTTATTCGGCTGGGAGCATTGGCAGACTTGCGTCTCAAGAACCAAGCTCTCCAAAGAAAAAGTTCCTGGCCCTTTTAAGGGCTTACAACTCTAAGGGTGTCCACGTGAAAGGGTCGTGACAGATTGAGCAAGTGATCTATAGGTAACACATGTGGTCAGAGTGTGGGGGGGTTAATCTTTAACCTCAGGCCTGATCAGTGGCACTGGTTGGTCTTGCCACTGACTTCATTCCTGTTGTTTTTCAGCTTTTACTTCCTCTTCCTCTTCAGAGACAGGAGGCAGTAAGAGAAATGGCCTCTCTCCTCAGTATTAAGGGAATACTGTTCTGAAAAAAATAAGAAGTGTTTCCTCTGCTCCCATTTTCTGAGCAGATTGTAAAGAATTGATATTGTTTATTCATTAATTGTTTGGTAGAATTCACCAGTGAAATAATAAACTATGCCTGGTACTTTTTCTAGGGGGTGGGAAGGTTATTAATTTTATATATACAGTTGTATTCGTGTTATATGTTTATTTTTGTGTGTGGTTGCTAGTTCACGTCTTCATGAAATTCATACATTTCATCTAATTCATCAAATTTATGAAATTAGAGTGGTTTGTACCATTCCTCTATCATCCTCTTAACATCCATAAGATCATTAATCATTACTCCTCTTTAATTTCTGATATTAATATTTGTAGTCCTTTCTATTCTTTGTTATCTTGGCTAGATGTTTATTTATTTTTTTGATCTTTTGAAAGAACCATCTTTTAGTTTTATTAATGTTCTCTATTTTTTTGTTTTTATTTTCATTGATTTCTACTTTAATTGAATCATTTATTTTCTTTTGCTTGTTTTAGAGTTAACTTCTTTTAGCCTAAGGTAAATCTTATATTATTCATTTTAGATCTTTCTTCTTGTCTAATGTGAGTGCTTAAGTGCCTTAATTTTTCCTGTAATTACTGCTATCACTGCATTTCATAATTTTGATATATCATAGTTTTATATACATCTAATCTAAAATACTTGTTAACTTTGAGACTTCTTAAACCGTTGCTATTTAGAAATGTTATTTACTTTACCAATATTTGAGGAATGTTCCAGCTATTTTCCTGATATTGATTTTTAGTTTAATTATATATTCTGACACACTTTACAGCTTTTTATTACTTAAAATTTGTTAACATGTGTTTTATGGCCTCTATATTGGTGAATATTTAGTGTGAGCTTGAGAAGAATGTGTATTTTGCTGTTGTTTAATGTTGTATATCAGTTATATAGGTAGATTGACATAGTTATTCAGGTCAGCTCTAGCTTTACCAATTTTCTGCCTGCTTGTCTTACAAATTACTGATAAAAGGATGTTGAAATCTTTGGCTATCATAGTGGATAAGTCTATTTCTCCTATCAGTTTTGACGCTGAACAGTAATTTGAAGCTCTGTTGTTAGCTGCATACTTGCTTAGGATTAATATATCTTTTTGGAGAAGTGACCTATTTATAATTATTTAATGCCCCTCTTTTACACTCATATGTTTTCAGTTTATAGGGTTTGATTTTTATAAAATTAATATAACTACAGGTTTATTTTGATTAGTGTTAGCAGTCTGTATATTTCTCCATCCTAGTGTTTATTTATTATTTGGATTTTTATAGACAACATATAGTTGGTCTTTTTTTTTTAATAAGTAACCTGACATTCTGTGGCATTTAATTGATGTGCTCACCATTGACATTTGAAGTGATTATTAATATCAATGGATTAATATTTGCCATGTTTGAAACAGTTTTCTATTTCTGGTATTTTTTCTTTCTTTCTCCTTTCCCCTGATCTATTTTGGCCTTTGCTGGCATGAATTTAGTATTTTATATGATTCTATTACATCTTCCCTACTGTGATATCAATTTTCTCTTCATTTAAAAACTTTGTTTAGTAGCTTCTTAAGAGGTTCCAATACAAATTTAAATGAACATAAGTCCACTTATATTACTGCACATAAAGGTTTATTCTCATTCTCTTTCTTGAGGTACTTATGATGTTGTTGTCATTCCTATTGGTTATTCTTATGTTTTATCACCCATTGCATTGGTGCTATTATGACATTAACAAACAATTATCATTTTGATCAATTAAGAATAAAAGATTATAGGCAGGGCACAGTGGCTCATGCCCATAATCCCAGCACTTTGGGAGACCGAGGTGGGCAGATCACCTGAGGTCAGGAGCTCGAGACCAGCCTGGCCAACATGGTGAAACCCCATCTCTGCCAAAATACAAAAATTAGCCAGGCATGAATGTGGGTGCCTGTAATCCCAGCTACTTGGGAGGCTGAGGTGGGAGAATCACTTGAATTCAGGAAGCGGAGGTTACAGTGAGCCGAGATTGTGCTATTGCACTCCAGCCTGGGTGACAGGGCAAGACTCCGTCTCAAAAAAAAAAAAAAGAATAAAAAATGATATATATTATTTTACCTGTATTCATTACTTCACTGGCATTCTTCTTTTCTTTAAGTATTTTCTGACTTATATTATCCTTTTTTCTCCTTAAAAACTTATTTTAACATTTCTTGTAGACCAGATTTGTTGGCAATTATTTCCTTCAGTTTTTGTTTGTTAGGAAACTATTTCTTCTTCAAATTTGAATGGTAATTTAATTAGATATCTAATTTTATGTTGGTATTTTCCTTCAACACTTTAAATATTTCACGTTCCCCCCTTACTTGCATGATTACTGATGAGCAGCCCACTGAAATTCCTATCCTTCTACCTTTCTAGGTAAGGTGTTTATTTTCTCTGGCTTTGTTTAAGATTTTGCATTTATTTCCACAAACAGCTTTCTGCACTTTGAATATAACATGCCTAGGTATATATATATATATTTAATTCTACTTGATATTCTCTGAGCTTCCTAGATGGAATTTTTGCTGTTGGTATTAATTTTGATAAGTTCTAAGTTTCTGGTTCCTCTTTTTTCTCTTTGTTATTCCATTATTCCATATTTAGGTTACATCTTTTTAGATTTTTCCCATAGTTATTGAATGTTCTGTTCTACTTTTTTTCCTCCTATTTCTTTTCTTTTTTTTGCCTTTCCATTGATTCTTTCCTTGGCCATCAAAGATATCTTTCATTTCTATTAAATATTGTTTTGTTTTAATTTCTAGCATTCCCTTTTTATTCTTAGATTTTTCTATATTTCTACTTATATTTCATATCTGTTCCTGCCTGTCATTTACTATTATAGTCTTTAACATATTAATCATAGCTACTATAAATTATCTCGCTGATAATTCCAAAATCTGTGTCATATCTGAGTCTGGTTCCATGATTACTTTGTCTTCTTACACTGTTTTTTTTTTTTCTTGTCATTTGGCATGCCATGTAATTTTTTTGTTGTCTCCCTCCTTGACTTTGGACGTCTCTACAAACTCCTTTTCAGAAAGAGTTTGTGTCTTTCAGCACTTTTCAAGTTGCAGTCCCCTGAAAATATCTGACCCTTGTTGATACGATAGTAATTTAGTATTGCATAATATTTCATAGTCCTGTGATTAATTTCCAGTCTACATCTTGAAGTGTTGACATTAACAAATGTTTTACAGTTCTTCCTTCCTCAATTAATATGAGTGAACAGTAGAGGTGTCTGGTGTTAGATAAATACCCTTTCCCTAGGTGGGTTAGGGTTCTAATAAAGTCTTTTTCAATTTAAATTAGAACTTTGGAGTATTTATTAATTCATATTATAATCAATGTTTTATTAGAATTTTAAACTTATTTGTCCAAGCGTCTGCTATATTCTCGCTTAAGTTAATTATTATACACATAGTTCTTATTGATATTATGAAAGGTATATTTTTACAATTTATGTTTTCTAGTTGGTTAGAGATATGTTACCAGTATTTGTAAGCCCGTGCTTCATCTAGAAAATTTGTCAAACACTTTTACTTGCTTTCTTAGTTTATTTCTTAACTGTTGACTTCGCTAATTGAGATATTGTTAGCTAATTAAAAAGTGTGCAGCCCTCCTCTTCCAATCCTCACAAAACTTTGCTTTGTTGTGCTAGTAATGACAGTACAAATAATTCAATGATAGTAGACATTGTTTCCTTGCTCTCAAAGAATGTATCTAAAAAACAAAAAGTATCTCTAATAAGTATAATGTCTGTTATATTTTCTTTTTTGGCATGTAATTATAACCAAATTAAAAAATTCTCTCCCAGTCTTTATTCGCTAAATAATTTAAGTCATAAAAAAGTGTTGAAATTCATAAAGTAATTTGTTTACATTATTTGAAATTATGGTATGGCTATATGTTGTCCATTAATTTTCTAATTTATGTTATTAGGTTTTCTGATGTGAGAGAAGCTTTGTGTTTCTGGAATAAATGCTGCTTAATCATGATGCTTTATTTGTATACTGTTAAACTCACTGGTTCACCGCATACTTTTTAATATGTAAGGATTCAGTTGAATCAATAATCCTTCACTTATATTCATAAGTTAAATGGGCTTTTGATTTTCTTTATTATAATGTACATAAAACAATACAACTTCTTAATTATACTTTGCAATTCTCTAATATACACTGCATTCATGCTGGGTTTTTAATATAGCTCTGAACTTAGGACTTCATTTTCTTTGCATTCTGGGTATATATTTTTATTTTACATCTTATTTTTCTTAAGTATCTTGGATAGTAGATATATCATGATTCAGTTCATATTAAAACAGTGAATAAACTAAGTAATTAAAATGTTGTGTAAGCTTAATTGTGGCCTGCTTATAAGAAGGCATTTTCTGTTAGCAGTGCGTTTTTCCTTTAAAATAAGTAAATAAGAAAACTCTAGATATCTAGTGTAATTGTGAAAAAAAAGGCACAGCGTTTTAGCAGTCCACAGCCTTCACTAGAATTTGAAACAACTAACGAAACAGCAGATCCCTCAGGATTGGTCAATAATTGTGAATTTTAAGTACAAAATCTAATCAACATAAATTTCCCCTCAAGAAGGGCCACTGATATAATATATAGCGATAGTGATTGTCAAATACCACCCCAAAAAATTATTCTTGGGGATTTGTATTTTTTTTTAAACTGTGCCTTTTGGCTTACTTCATCCATAGTGGAAGGTAACAGAATCGTGTGATCCAAGTTTTTTTTTTTTTTCTGGGGCAACACTGTCATAGGATATTGTCTAGAATGTTACATAAACATAATATGGATAACAGAATGGGACAACTTTAAAGTCATACCCATTGCAGGACACTTAAAATATTGTCACTAAAAGCCTGCCAGAGACATCATTTATTTCTATATGAGAATAGCACTTCAGATAAAGTAGCAGTTTCCTTTACAATGATTAACTTGCTCTCTAATCTCAAGTGAAGAAGTAAAAAAGGATAAAAACCAGCAACTATACACTCTTATAAACACCATCTTTGCAGTAAATAAGAGTGTTAAAGGCAAAAGGAATAAGAACCCATTGAATACAAGTCTTTAGATACTTGAAACTGTATTGAACTACACAACTAACTCTTCTCTGGTATATTCAGGCTTTCACAACTTTTAGTAAAAAAGAGCTCATCTGATTATATATGAAAACACATATCTATCATGGTTATCCAAAGAAATGCATTCATAAGAAAAATTAATTTTAGCCAATTCAACACATTAAAAAGGGAAATACACACGAAACAGCTAAAGTAACTTTCAATCCATTAGGTGTTTTAATTAACTTATCTGTTTCTCTGACTAATTTTGGACCGTAATTTTAAGTTTAATTTCCCTTTCGAACTGGACTTAACATTCTGAAAATATTTAAACATGTTTTACGATTGTTTCTGAATTTACAGACAGAATTAAAATGCACAAATATTTTATCTGTGTATATTCACACATAGTAAAATATTTTTAGAAAATTCACTAGATACAAGGGCATAATTTCAACTGATATGATGTTTCATATAGTTATTTTGTCTCACCAACATATGGAAAAACAGTAATTTTACTTTTGCTTTGAGATATACTTTTTGAAAAAAATGTTGATGTCAATTATAATTTTGTGATGAGCTATGTAGGGGGAAAATATATGCAGTAAAAATATTTTTTGTCCAGACACACAGTAATTTAGGCACTACGAAAATGAAAAAAAAAATCTTTTTTCG
The DNA here is from genome assembly GCF_000001405.40 of Homo sapiens. Classification (NCBI taxonomy): domain Eukaryota; kingdom Metazoa; phylum Chordata; class Mammalia; order Primates; family Hominidae; genus Homo; species Homo sapiens. The sequence continues at coordinate 26,167,484 of NC_000005.10, forward strand.
GGTTTAAGTAGGGTATGTAATCTTTTATTTCTTCTTTTTTAACTGTGGATATAAATAGTGATTATGATACATTTAGTTGTCAAATTAACAATAGGATTAAGGAACAGGAAAGCCATTTTTTATGGTATTATTTTACAATGATGCATCTCTTTCCTCTCTAGATTTCAAACTGAAACCTAATGAACTTTTCACAAAATTCAATGCTGATATTAGATATAATACATGTAAAATATTTGGAGAATGCAAATCTAATAGTAAGTCATCCACAAATCCTAACATTATTGTTTATCATTCTCATTATATAAGTGGTAGCAGTGGTGGTAGAATAGTCTTACTTAAAGTATTTAATATAGTAACAGTACTACCAAAAGCAAATTAACACTCATGAGTTTTTTTATAACACTTTCTTTCGGACATTAAGTATGCATACATATTATTGGAAAATAAACAAAAAAATTTTATTAGATAAAAAGCTAGATAATTTTGAAATATGCTATTCTAACAGCATATGCATTTTTAGTGTTATTGTAGAAAGGAATTCTTGACTCAGATTTGAATGAACATGTTTTATGCAAAGTAAATTCTATGCAAGAGTAGAGGTCATTCTTCTCTATTTGATATCAATGTTCATGTAAAAGAGAAACTTAAATGCAGTCATTTTTCTGACTTCTAATAAATCAATATAATTTCTTTCTGTAGTACTTGGATAGTATGAGAGCTATGATGTCTTTAATCGCTACCTTTAATGTAAAATTAATTATAAAAATACTATAAATAGAATGATCTTATACTCTAACATTCTCCGAATTTTTCCTATGAAAGTATTCACTCCTTTTAAAACTTCTCTATTTTTCCATTATAAATAAGGTAAATACTTATCTATTATTACATATACTTAGTCTTATTGTTGTTGTTTAATATCCCTTTCCTGGTTTTTAATCAGTCATATTCTGCTTATATTAATATTTTAATACATTTTATATAAATATAAACAATAACTATAGCCACATATGGGTATATGTGTATGTGTGCATATATGTGCATGCACGTATGTGTATGTGTATGTGTTTGTATATATATGTTTCTGTCTCTGTGTATGTCTTTGTCTATAAGTATTTCCTTTCCTCCAATTCATTTGAGCTGGATAATTGACAAAATTCCCAATTGGGATTCTTTAATCTGGATCCCATCCCACCTGCCCCCAAATTTAAAACAAATCAGGAGTAAGATCATGAGAACTTTGACCTCCAATGACAAAAACATCAAGACAAGGATGAAAATATGCTTGACTTATTTGTCATATTTGATATTTTTCAACGATGCTTTTTTTTTTTTACATTCTGCTGACAAGAAAAAAATGCTCTTGGTTCCAACATTAAAGAACGTATTTCATTTATAGCCAGGCAGGCTTGAAATTCTTCATTTTAAATCTCTACTGAACTTTAGAGAAACCTTTAAAAAATCAATTACATTTATACTAGGTTTTTACCCTAGCGTTCAGAGTCCAGAATTCTAATGCCCAGAAAAAGCAACCAGTCTTAAAAATCTACAAGACTGTATGAAAATCTTAAATGAGAGCTATTTCCAAAACTTTGATGGCCAAAAATATGAACAGGATTCATGTCCTTGCTAGAAAATGTTGAGTGATATTCAAATTAAAATGGTTACTGATTGCCCTGCATGGACTAATTCTCTATTCCGATAACATGTTGAGTTTTCTTTTTTTTAGATGTGCACTATTAAGATGGAAACTTACCAGATTAGTATTTTAAGGATCAATTCTCAAACACACTAATCAGAGTAACATTAGGGTAGATAAACTTCTGAGCCATTACTGCTTTTTAGAGAGCATTTTCTAAAAGACAACTCAGAGCCACAATTCCATATGGATATTGTATTATTATTTTATTATTAGCTGAATTTAGAATATGGAAAATATGTTCCTTATTAAAGAAAACAATTAATTATTGTGAAATAACTAATAATAATAATCTTGCAAAAAGTGTAACTAATCACACAAGAGAGCAGCTTTTGTCCATAATTTATGCACTATTTCTTCAAAACATTAATTAAAGAAGTAGTTACATTTATTTCATCTCTAAAAAAGTAAATAAGGCTTAGAATTTTGGTAGTGAAATTAAAAGGTATCAGTAAATAAGTAGGAAATAATCTCTTTGAATAGAATATATTTCTCAGTAAAATACCTATTCCATTTACATAAAGTATAATTCCAACATTTAGAAAAATTCTGTGTGAAATGATGTCAAATATTTGTCCTGAAAATTTCTGATCTTTTGACTAATTATTCAGATCCTTTAGCATTTTCTGCCTCTACAGACATAGAAACAGTACATTATAAAAAATTTGTTAAAACATGTTCACCTTATTTAAGTAATTTTGATGTTTCATGGTATGAGAATATATGAGCAATTCAAATAAACTTTAGCTTCATGCTCATAATAACAGCAACAACATCAATAAGTCTTGTATATTAGTCAGGATTCTCCAAAGAAACTGAACCAATAAAGAAGATATAGACGATAAACATACAGATATAAATATAAAGATATTTATTATGAATTTATTATGAGGTGATTAGTTACACTTTTTGCTCATGTGATTACAAAGGCTGAGAGTCTCACAATATGACATTTACAAGAGACCCAGGAAAGCCAGAGGTGTAGTTCCAGTCCAAACCCAAAGACCTGAGAACAAGAGAAAGTCTTGGTTTAAGTCTCAGTCATAGTTCAAGGGTCTAAGAAAGGGAGTCAGTGATGTAAATCTCCATCTGAGTTCAAGGGCCCAAGAACCAGGAGCTCCAATGTCTGAAAACAAGAGAAGATGGATGTCCCAGTTCTGTAAGGGAGAGACAAAGTGACTTTGCCATTCCTCTACCTTTCTGTTCTATTCAAGGCCCTTAATGGATTAAATGAAGCCTACCCAAACTGGGCAGCACAATCCTCAGTCCACCAATGCAAATGCCAATCCCTTCCAGATACACCTTCACAGACACACGTAGAAATAATGTTTTACCAGCTATCTGGTCATCCTTTATCCTAGTCAGGTTGACACATAAACCATCACATTGTCTTCTTCTTTTCCCCAGTACAAGTGAATATTTTACCTGTGTTAAAACCACTGGTGTTAATAACCAAGAATATTCCAGGTAATCTTCATATAAAAAATCAAACAACACTCAGATAAAAGCTTTTCCCATCAATCAATATTAATATAAAAACATAATCTTTTTCATCGGATTTTGTTTTTCTCTCATAAACACATGGACAACCTAGAGGGAATAGGCATTGAGCAATGTGCTGAGAATATACACGTGAATATTAATCTTATCTTCAGGTAACTCATAATCTCATAGAAAAGACAAATTTCTTAGATAGGAAATTAAAATGTACCAGGTACACTACAGATATTTTCTTTTTTTTTTTTTTTTTTTTTTTTTTTTGAGATGGATTCTCACTCTTTCACCAGGCTGGAGTGCGGTGGCATGATCTTGGCGCACTGCAACCTCTGCCTCCTGGGTTCAAGCGATTATCCTGCCTCAGCCTCCCAAGTAGCTGGGACTACAGGCACCCGCTGCCATGCCTGGCTAATTTTTGTATTTTTAGTAGAGATGGGATTTCACCACGTTGGCCAGGCTGGTCTCGAACTCCTGACCTCAGGTTATCCACCTACCTTTTCTTCGCAAAGTGCTGGGATTACAGGTGTGAGCCATCGTGCCCAGCCAGTGACAGATATTTTCAAATAGTATTGGGAGCTGTTCTTAAGGAGAGTAGAAAGAAAGTTAAGTGAAAGACCGTCGTGTTAGGGAAGGCATCTAATAGGCTGTGATGGCAGAGCTATATCTGAAGAGGTGAATAAATTTAGCTTGGAAAATATGTGAGACAAATATAAAAGAACTCCAAAAGTCAATTTATGGATTTGGGAAACAAAGAAGTGTGTAGAGAACTATAGGATGTCTAGTGTTAGAACATAAAATGTTTGGAAGTGTTTTCAGGAATAAAACAAGGAATGTTGGAAGAAGAGAGTTTGGCAGAACCTCATATGCACAGTTGGGAACTCAATGTTGATGCTCTACTGGACAATGAGCTGCAAAAAATTTTAAAAAGAGTAAAATTACTTTATTTAATAGTTACTTTCCCCACTTTCTAATTACTCTAGAAAGAGTGCTGTGAAGGAAATAAGGTAAGAGACAGGGAATGAATCAGAAGAATGAGCTGGTAACCCAGGCATGGCTTTTTAAAGAGAGAATGAACTACCTTGGGTGGTCTTGACAATAGAGAAAGCATTTTCTAGTTTATCCTTTAAATCATCATGATTTCAAAGAACTATAATGTGATTTCATCTTTTACTAATGTAATGTAATGGTTAAATAATATAATTTACTAAAATATAATTTTATTTTTGCATAATTGTAGTATATATGGTCATACAAACTTCTCAACAGTTTTCTGGTACACCATTCTGCATGTGGAGGCTTAGAAGTTACAAATTATATTCTTAACTTTTTCTTTATTTTTTTATTTTTTATTTTTTTGAAACGGATTCTCGATCTGTCACCAGGCTGGAGTGCAGTAGCAGGATCTCGGCTCACCGCTATCTCCGCCTTCCGGGTTCAAGCAATTCTCCTGCTTCAGCCTCCTGAGTAGCTGGGATTACAGGCACACACCACCACGCCCAGCTTATTTTTTTGTATTTTTAGTAGAGGCGGGATTTCATCATGTTGCCAGGATGGTGACGATCTCCTGACCTTGTGATCTGCCCACCTCTGCCTCCCTAAGTGCTGGGATGACATGGGTGAGCCACCGCGCCTGGCCTATATTCTGAACCTTTTCTACAGATAGGCTTTGTGTTGTGATTTGGTTTCTATCTTATTTGGTTCATATGAGACTTGAATTTGAGACCAGTTCAAGTGCGATATTTAGAAAAGACGTGAGATCCATGCATTAGGCCTGGAGCAGTGCAGTTCTGGATCTAACAATTACAGCAGTGGCTTCACTATTCCAAGATTATGACCAATGGAGTATGACTCAGGGGCCAACATTTAATTCGGCAATTTTCTGACTGAAGCAGAAGTAGCACATCTTTTGACAGGCTGGTTCTGTTGATAGGAACATTGTTTCAAAAGTCATTCCGGAAAATAAAGATTATTGCTATTCCTCAAGCCGTTGATACTTTCTATAAATACACAATTCCCTTTATGAAATAAATACATTTTGGTAAAACAGCTAAGAGAGTTTATATTATCTGAATGTGGATGCATAGATCCTGAATAGCATAGTCAAGCTAGGTCCTTTGTTAAAAACCAATCCCCAATTTAATTTGGAACAGCAATGTACCCAGCTTTAAAACTGTAGTCACCAGGCTGTACTGCAATTATGATGGCGCTGTAACACAACATGAGCCGACTAGGCACAAGTGTGAGTCTGCTGGGAATACTGGCAAAACTTTTGTATTTCTAATACACCTGTCTCCTATTTCTCTTTGCGTTATCTATTTTAACCTCTTTTCCTGCAGGAAATTCTGTCTTAGTGGCTGCATCTCTAACAATTGTCATATGGCCCCGCAGGAAAAGGCTAAGAGAAATGCAGAAATCTTGGGCCTGTCAGCTTTGAGCACTGAATCAATGCAACGATCTTCTCCGTCTGCACTTCTGAGGGCACTGGCTGAAAAAAAAAAAAAAAAAAAAAAAAAAAAAGAACATTTGTAAAGCTAATGTCAGATTTTCTGTCGCGTATAGCTCATAGCAAAGACAATTATTTAACAGACATCAGAATTTTCTGTTTAATGCATGGGTCTTACTTGCAAATAACAGATGCCGACTCTGAATGAAGAAGCAAAAATTGATTCAGTAAAAGAATATTAGGCAGTTCAGAAAATTATTATTAGATACAGAAAACACATTTCAGTAATGTGCCTAAGGTCATATATTAAAAATGATGCAAAGAAAATACAACTACTGTTTTTGTTGCCCAAAGAAATTTCCTTGTCAGGTACTCAATCTTGAAATCAACAGAATACCAGACTATTTATCCCTGTTGCAATCAAGATCTGATAATGTGATCATTACCTATGATGGGTGTTAGGAAGCCTTTATCAAGTTACTCATTTTCTAACTTAAATTTGGAGTGTTTCTGGTATGAAGCTCTTCTGTTACAAGCCTTTGTACTAGTCTACAATACTGTTAGAAATTCCTAATTCTGGGTTGTACTTTGGTGTGCAAGACCATAAGGCTGGGAATTTGCCAATTATAACCAAGGATGTACAACCTGCTGGGTAGTCAGAAACATGATAGATTTTCAACGCACTGGTTGTAATTCTTTTGCCTTTAGAATGACAATAATTATATGACCCAAATTGTGGTTAGGTTAAGCAAAATATAAGTATTGCTATTCCATGCTCTTAAAATAATACTGTATATTTTAAATCTGTACATAATATGTAAATTATTAAATACTGAAAAACACAATAATATACATGCCAATATACGCATACCTACATGACCATAAAAATGTAAGCCCCTCAATTATACACATGATAATTAATGAAAAATAGTGATTTTAGCCCAGGTGGACATAATTAAATTATAATAGGTGATATGAACTCACATTTTTTCTCATCTTTACCAGTTCTCACAAATTAGAATGGATGAATGGGTGAGTAGCAAAACATAGGAGTGGAGAGACTTTAATTATTCTTAGATGCAATATTATTCTAATAATAAATAAACTATCAATCACACTTCATGACAGCTATCTGAATTGCAAAGATGTTACTTAAGTGAAATGGTTAATGCTGATAAGGCAATGAGTTAGTATGTTTGTATATTTAGATAAAATATTTTTAAAATACCTATCTAACAGTTAGGGATAAAGACCTTGGTATAGTTTGGCTGTGTCCCCACCTAAATCTCATCTTGAATTGTAACTCCCATAATTCCAACATGTTATGGGAGAGATCCAGTGGGAGATCATTGAATCATAAGGGTGGTTTCCCCCATACTGTTCTCATGGTAGTGAATAAGCCTTATGATATTTAATGGTTTTATATGTGGCTTCCGTTTTCACTTGGCTGCCACCACGTAAGATGTGCCTTTCACCCTTGCCTGCCACCATGTAAGATGTGCCTTTCACCCTTGCCTGCCACCATGTAAGGTGTGCCTTTCACCCTGCCATGATTGTGACCGTGATTGTGAGGCCTTCCCAGTCATGTGGGACTGTGAACCCATTAAACTGTTTTTCTTTATAAATTACCCACTCTTGGGTATGTTTTTATCAGCAGCATGAAAATGGACTAATACAGTAAACTGGTACCAGGAGTGGAGTGCTGCTGTAAAGATACCCAAAAATGTGGAAAAGACTTTGGAACTGGGCAACAAGCAGAGGTTGGAACAGTTTGGAGGTCTTAGAAGAAGACAGGAAAAAGAGGGAAAGTTTGGAGCTTCCTAGAGACTTGTTGAATCACTTTAACAAAATCTTGGTAATGATATGGACAATAAAATCCACACTGAGGTGGTCTCAGATGGAGAGGAGAAACTTGTTGGGAACTGCAGTTAAGGTGATTCTTGCTATGTTTTATCAAAGAAACTGGTGGCATTTTTCCCCTACCCTAGAGATTTGTGGAACTTTGAACTGGAGACAGATGATTTAGGGTATCTCGTGGAAAAAATTTCTAAGCGGCAAAGTATTCAACAAGCGACTTGGGTGCTGTTAGAATAATTCAGTTTTAAAAGGGAAACAGAGCATAAAAGTTCAGAAAATTTATAGTCTGACAATGTGGTAGAAGAGAAAATCCCATTTTTTGAGAAAAAATTCAAGCCAGTTACAGTAATTTGTATAAGTAATGAGGAACCAAATGCCAATCACCAAGACAATGGAGAAAATGTCTCCAGGGCATGTCAGAGACCTTGGAGGCAACTCCTCCCATCACAGGCCTGGAGGCCTAGGAGGGAAAAAGGGTTTCTTGGGCTGGGCCCATGGTCTCCCTTCTGTGTGTATCCTAAAAGCTTGGTGCCCTGTGTCCTAGCCACTCTAGCCATGGCTAAAAGGGACCAAGGTACACCTTGCTTAAGTGAAATGGTTAATGCTGATAAGGCAATGAGTTAGTATGGGCTGTGGATCCGGAGCTTGCAAACCCCAAGCCTTGGCAGCTTCCATGTGGTGTTGAGCCCACGGGTGCACAGAAGTCAAGTTTTGAGGTTTGAGAACCTCTGCCTAGATTTCAGAGGATGCATAACAATGCCTGGATGTCCAGGCAGAAGTTGTGCTGCAGGGGCGGGGCCTTCACAGGAACCTCTGCTAAGGCCCTACAGAAGGAAAATGGGGGGTTTAAGCCCCCACATAAGTTGCCAGTGGGGCACTGCCTAGTGGAGCTATGTGAGAGGGCCACTGTTCTCCAGATCCCAAAATGGTAGATCCACTGACAGCTTGCACCAGGTGCCTAGAAAAGCCACAGACAATGCCAGGTGGTCAAGGCAGCTGAGAGTGAAGCTGTACCTTGCAAAGCCACAGGGGTGGAGCTGCCCAAGACCATGGGAATGTACCTCTTGCATCAGCATGACCTGGATGTGAGACGGAGAGTCAAAGGAGATCATTTTGGAACTTTAAGATTTGATTGTCCCACTGGATTTCAGGCTTGTTTGTGGCCTTTTGCCCCTTAGTTTTGCCCCATTTCTCCCATTTGGTTTGGGTGTATTTATCCAATGCCTGTACCCCCTTTGTTTCTAGGAAGTAACTAACTTGCTCTTGATTTTACTGGCCCATAGGTGTAAGGGCCTTGCCTTTTGTCAGATGAAACTTTGGACTGTGGACTTTTGAGCTAATGCTGAAATATGTTAAAACTTTGGGGAACGGTTGGGGAGGCATAATTGGTTTTAAAATGTGAGGACATGAGATTTGGGAGGGGTCGAGGTGGAATGATATGCTTTGACTGTGTCCTAACCCAAATCTCATCTTGAATTGTAGCTCCAATAATCTCCATGTGTTGTGGGAGGGACCAGGTGGGAGATAATTGAATCACAGGGGTAGTGTCCCCACTACTGGTATTGTGGTAGTGAATAAGTCACAAGATCTGATGGTCTTATAATGGGTTCCCCCTTTTGCTTGGCTCTCATTCTCTCTTGCTTAATAGAACTATAATTGACATCGCTTCTTCAGTCTTAGGTTAAATCCTAGAGTTCTAATACCTTAAAACAAATTTGGGGGATTCATAGAAAATCAAATGAAAATAACTCAGAATTACATTTTGATGCTGAAATTTGAAACTCATATGTCCCTTATAAGTATCCAGGAGTGGGCCCTTAACTTATTCATGAGGAAAAATTCTAGTTTGATTGAAGGTAATAGTTTACTCTACCTTTTTAACAGAAGTGTGTTTTCATCCAGGCGTATGTCAAACTCCTCAAGTTTTTAATAAGGAGGGGACATCAACTTGACAATTTATGTATAAATATGTGAATAAACTTTCAACAAGCAATCAACAATATTAACTCTATACTATCTCTGGAGAATCACACATCAAGCCTGTATATTTCAGATTCTATCAAGTGATGCTTAAAATGGCCACATCATAAATATAATAAAAGTGTACTTTAAAATTAACCTCACATCATTTTGCCCTTCAAGCTCAACTATTCTAACTGAGGGAAATATGCTTACAGTTTTTATTTTTAAGATATTTTCCAAGGATGAACATATTTAAGAATTAAATATATGAGGTTAAACTATATTAATTTAGAAATATTTGATAATTGACTTAAAAATAGCAAATAGATAGTTGTACTTTCTTAATATAAATAAATGTTATTATTTATTTTTTATGCTTCTTGAAGCTAGGGTCTTTTCTTTCCTTAATAGTGTGTTTTGATTAATTAATATTAGGCCCTGTTAGAATTTGTTTAATCAGCTATATAAAGTATTTTCATAGAACATACAGTATATTATTTACCCAGTCCTTAATGTATGTACCTCTATGGTATTTTATACTTTTTAAGTATTGCAAGCAGATCTATAATTATTATCATTATAGATGCTAATATGTAGGCACATGTAGAAACAATTGTAGGATATATTCAAATAGGTAAAAGTGCTATGTATATTTACTCTTACTCTACCTTCTGTCTTTGAATTAAGTATCACCACCAGAAGGCTACACATCTGGCCTACATAATCCCAGCACCTTGCTGAATTGCTTCACTGAGTTATGCTTCATGTTATGTGCCCATTGTTAACTGTAGACCCAGGAAAATTAGTATCATGGAATGTGATAATGCAGCCAGTGCAGTGAATGCTGTCACTGCATAATCCTTTGGTAATCTGCAGTACTTCCCACATACATTATTTCATTTCTTGACTAATCTCTAATGATAATGTAAAAAATTCTACAGGAAATTAATTATGAATTCCATATTGAAAGGTTTCAATTCCATGGTTTTCTGTTTTACTTTGTAAATGAAAATAACAGTGGAAGTTCAGTTAAAATGATTATGTTTCTCCCTGAGATGTGTAAGCTTTTTTTTGCTTCACTAATTTTGTCAATACTTTTTTTATACTTAAATTATTATTCACATAATAAGCTTATTTATTTCTCAAGTATTTTAGAAAACCACATAGTGATTTATAATGTAAGGTCGTTAACAAAAATGAAATCTTAATTTTATAATACCTACATCTCCTCTTAGTGTGTTAAATAACACATTTGATGCCTAGTATTCTATTAACAATTTAAGGTAAAATAACAATGTGTCATTTCTCCTTAAAAATGACACAAAGAACAACCAACATATATGGATGAGAAGAGCTCTCTGCAAGGATGAATTCATTCCAAGTGGTGTGCAGTGTATTTGTTACTCATGAGGATAGTTTGCTCCTCAATCTTCTCGAAGGCTTATAAATCTAAATGTAAATTAATATAAAATGAGAAGGATCTTAGAAACCATTTCTGCTTAATAACAACTATACGTAATATGTTGTTAATTCAGCCTAATTAACAAAAAACTCAAGAGAACATTTGGATACTAATTCCTCCAGCATTATTTAAAGGAAAGCGTAAGAATCCCTGGAAGGCATGAGAATTTTGGAAATTCGAAATGGGTTTTCTAAAGTACTCTATATTTTCCTTAGAAAAATTTATAACCCTTGGCTCTTCAAAATTTAATTACATATTTTAGTTACATGAAAAAAAGTGCTTTCTAGTATTCTAAATTATATAATTAGCATTAGTGATAGTACTTTTAAAAAAAATACAATCCAGTTTACCCATATGTATAAGGAAATGGTAATCCTAATAAAGTTTAAAAACACATAAGACAAATTTAGAGAAAATTAGGTATTAATAAATATGAATGAGGCTTACTTAATCTATCCAAAATTTATGAATTAATATTTTTGAGTGTTCATTTTGTGCCAAGCATTGTTTAGAAACTGGCATCCAGAACTGAACAAAACTGATGAAAATATCTTCCTTGGTACATTTTAAATTCCAGTAGGAATACAAACAACAAACTGATTTCCTTAAAAAGTTATATATACAAAAGGTGTTGAGAAAGTGTTTTTTAATGAAAATAAGGAAGAATAGTGGGATAGGATGCAGCAGGCTGTTGGCTTGAAAGGTAGAAAAGGTGGAATAGTTATTCACTGAGAGAAGGCATTGAGAGCTGTAGGTCTGTGTTGGCCATGGGGTATGAGAGACTGAAAATTATGTATCTGGAGTGTGATATTTTTACTCTGAGATGCTTGTGATCCCAGCTAAAAGAATAAAGCTGTAGACAATGTTTGAGTTTGTATTTAATTTTTAATCTCCGATATCTACGAATCAATTTCACTAATCAAATGGTGTAGGTGCTATCCATCTACTGCTTCAGAATGAACCATTTTACACTTTGTTTCCTGTTTGCATGACATTTTTTAAATACACACACTTTTTAACCCAGTTAATCTCCAAATCTCAACCACATTTTATTCCATTATTCCTGTTATATAAAAGTATTCCCTTCATTCAAATTATCTTCACGTCATCTTATAAAATCTGTATCATTTTAAGTTCTCAAGACAATTACAGTTGCTTTTAATAAGAAGAATTTAATCAAGGACTTTTCCTGGATTTTTTGGTGTTTTGGGCTTGGGGATGATATATGTAATGATTAGACACAAAGAACTTGATATTTTTATAATGAATAGTAAAAGTAAAATAAACTTTAAATGTGTAATTTTAAAATACACTTTAATTGTTTAGTCTGTGTCTAAAGCTGCCATGAAGTTCTAAATTCTTAAGGTGATTCATAAGAAAAAAGGTTATCTTAAAGCGTAAGAAGGTTTATTTTCTGCTAATTGTATTTCTGTTTGCTTTTTCTTATATCATTAAGAATAGGTTTAGCTTACCGCTGCTTTTAAAAGATGTGTTCTTATTAAAAATAAAGAGTAAATCACTTTACACAGTGAAGGAAACAAAGAGTGTTACTGATAAACATTTCATAGGGCATATTTATATTAAAATTTATTTGTAGTTATCTAAAATTCAAATTTACCTCCTTTTTTGAATTCTGAAAACCCTAGAAAATGTCATATCAAACTACACAAAATTAAGTGAAGCTTTGACATATGACCACTTTATAATTTGGCAGACAGTGCAATGTATGCAGGCATAAAGTCTAATTTACATTTTTTTGTGAAAAATGAAATCCTGAATTAATAGTGTACCTGCATATATTGTTCAACCTGTCTGAAAATCTATCAAAGGCCTAATAGAGTTAGTATTTTGAACTTGAACTTGTTAAAATGCACAATTGTTATAACTTTTTATAAAATATGTGTAGCACTTTACGATTTACTCCATTGTTTTTAAAATGTCATGATTCTATTTTATAACAACATGTAACTGACTCATTCATTCATCAAGAAATACTCATTGAGTTTCTGCCATGTCTCATCTCGATAACTCCAATGTTCCATGCGTGGCCTCCTGCTTCAAATATAATTATATAACTGAGTAGATCTACTTACTGGAGCTGAGCTAGGGAAGAAAACCATCCTCCTTTATAAGCGTTGAAGCCTGTCATGGTCTGAATTCTGCACCCCCACAAAAAAGACATATTGAAGTCCTAACCCCTGACCCAAATAGACACGAAAGAGGGATGACAATGTGAGAAGACAGAGGACAAACTCCCTATGAAGTCAGAGGCAAACATATAAATTATGCCTCCTGGCACAAGCCAAGGAAATGTCTAAGGCAAGCAGAAATAGAAAGAAGCAAAGAGGGATACCTTCTCCTCCAGGTTTTAGAGACAGCATGGCCCGCTGACACCCTGATTTGGGGCTTCTCATCTCCAGAGCTACAAGGTAATATATTCCGGTTGTTTTAAGCTACCTGGCTTTTGGTACTGTGTTATGGCAGCCCCAGGAATGTAATAGAAAAAAAAAGACATTCTCACTTGCTCTCTGAGACCTGGCCCAGCCTGATGCATTGTTAATGCTTTAGAGCAAGTGATATTATAAAGTATCAATCACAAGATTCAGAATTTATATGTTCTAGTATAATTTGAACAGCAGAATGTTTGTACCTAGAAAGCTAACCTGTAGGGTTTTTTTTAAATTTCATTTGTTTATTCAAAAAAAGTTACTGAACTCTACAATATGACAGGAACTTTTCTTCTAGGATTCTAGGAGAAATCGGTGAAAATTATGATTAATAATAATAGTAATAATAAAAAGCTAAAGGCTTCTGGAATCATGCAGTTTCCACTAAAGTTGACCCATCGAATAACAGTCCAAAAAGAGTTTACTACAAACAAGATGGTAAGTAAAATGAAGACATTGTCTGTTTTTTTGTATTGCATATGCATAAGTTTCTATCTCTATTCTTACATGTATCCTTATCCCGATTTGTATCTCTGTCTAAATTTTATCTTTATTAGAATTAGCTAAATTAGGTACAAGGTAAGGAAAGCTTCATTTTCAATACAAAAAAAATTTTAATTTCATGGATTTAAAAATCTATTGTACTCAAATGTAGTGCCACAAAGTATATTGCTTTAATAATAATATTAAAGTTTCATTTTTGCACTATCCAGTGTAAGTATAGCCATTATTGATTATGCAGTTCTTGGGGCAAAATCATAAAGTTTGTATTTTTACTCAGAAACTTTAATGAAATCACCAATCGCATCTTAGCTTTTACTTTTAAAATAGTCATCAAAGTAAAATTATCCCCTTATAGTCAGAGTTGCAATATAACAAAATGAAAACAATTTTAGCAACAAGATAATGTGGGGACAATGAAGCATCAGAATGGTGATGTCATTATGAACAACTTTATATTAACTTTGTGGTTTTGAAAGCATATGCTATCACCTGTTTCTAAATAAAACTGTTAGTTTTATCATAAACATGCTTTTCAATTACATTCATATGTCTATATATAATTTTCTCTTTTAATTGAATTATATTTTCCTTAGCCATAAAACATCAGAAGTTTAGTTTTAAATTAAACTTCAACAATATATTACTTTGGACATTCCCTGAGAGATAATAGTTCAGTTGATAAAGTATTGATTATAACACATTATATAGTACCTACCATGTGCCAAATATTATTTAAAACAAGATGTGTCTCTGTATGTGTGTGTGTGTGTGTGTGTGTGTGTGTGTGTGTGTGTGTGTGTTTACCTTCTCATCACCTTCATGTTTAGGTGGGAATACACTGTTTTCAGGTTCACTAAAACAAATAAAAAACAGCAGGTGTTACAACTCAGATTTCACCTTGGCAGTCTGGTTCTAGAATTCATTCTTTTAAAAACCATAAAAGAATAACATTTACTTTACAGTATAAGCTATTCGTATAAATTGCTAAAGGTTATACATGGTGTTTTTAAAAGGTCCACATACATGAAAGATGGCTACTTTGTAAATATTGATACATATTTATCTGTGATTTCAGAGATTCCGGCCTTCTCAGAGTACAAAAGCACTAAGATCAACATGAGTTATATTATCCTGAAGTGTTTGCATTTTGTTTAGTTTGGATTTATTTGATTTTACTATACTGAATAAAATACTTTCATTTTCTTATTGTCTCTTGCTTCTTTCTCCACTAACTGTTCCATTTTTACAATGGAAGAATTCCTGTCTTTCCACTGTAAAAATTCCTCTGAAATAATTCTTTTTGAAAAAAGGAAAGTGAGAAATAAGAGACCCCCTGTATTGCCCTTCCACTATAAGAAAGAAGCAATATTTACATCGGATAAAATTTACATTTTTATCATGATTTACAAATATATTTGTTATATATGCAAAAATAACTTCAAATAAATGTTGTAAATGAGGATTTTAAACGTTCTTGTGAAAAACTACACTTGGCATCTCCTAAAAAACATAATGAAATATGTCTTGCCATAAATAAATAAATAATTGTAATTTATTTTTAAAGATCTACCTTATTTTGTGAACCTTTTTTGAAATGCTTGGCAAGGAATTGGAACTTAGAAAAGATACCTTGAAACAAATATTTCCTTATTTATTTATTTCTTTGTTTATTTATGTATTTATTTATTTTACTTCAGGTTCTGGGATACATATGCAGAATGTTCAGGTTTGTTACATAGGTATACATGTGCCACGGTTGTTTGCTGTACGAATCAACCCGTCGTCTAGGTTTTAGGCCCCATGTGCATTAGGTATTTGTCCTAATACTCTCCCTCCCGTTGCCCCCCATCCCCCGACAGGCCCTGGTGTGTGAATTTCCCCTCCCTGTGTCCATGTGTTGTCATTGTTTAACTCTCACTTATGAATGAAAACATGCGGTGTTTGGTTTTCTGTTCCGAAACAAATATTTTTTTCAATAGGAATAGGTTTGACCAAAGAATCAGTGATGTTAAAGGTAGCAGAAATCTTTAACGAATTCATTTGTTCTAATCTTTAAATGTTCACACAATAATGATTTTATTATCTATCTATCTATTGTAAATGAGTCAACAGGAGTCAAATTGATTATCTGCTATCTGACAGATGACTCAATACATTCTGGGGGACGATACCATAGGAGGATGAGGGGGAAGCAAAATAGCTGTTATTTCTGAACTTCACCTCTGATATCCAATAGTCACTCTGTTTTATTTTGAATCAGTGTTATTTCAAATTAAATTTAAAATTCTACCAAAAAGACTATCTTCAAAATAGGAATGTCCTCTTTTCGTGGAATAAGGATATCTTCCTGGTAGGTTTGAATTAATATCTCCAGTAATAAATTAGAAAGTACATTTTATTTTTAAATTGCATGCGTTTAACTATTAATGGCATGGACTATATTTCAAAACTTACTGTGACAGCTTCAATTTTGTTTTATCAAAATAACTTATGTTTGATCATAGGACATTTCTTTTACATCCAAGGCACAGAAAAGCATTTTTGTAGCATGTCTATTTTAGAAGAACAGTAATACTTGATATTTTTTACTTCATAGGTCAATATAAATAAACATCAAAATAGATTTTTACAGTTTTTCCCTTACAGAAATGTAATTCTTGCCAGTAAAAAGCAGGTCATATGCAGAGGTTAAATGAAACACTTGTAACTTGAGGAAATTTGTTTTAAAATAAACATTTTGGTTTACCACAGTCTTTCCTCCTCCTTCAAACTTACCCACAAAGTGAGCTTTCTTTTCATTGTAAGATTGAAAATTTATAGCAATGGTATAATAGAGATAAATCCCAAAGCCACCTATTTCATATTTAGCTCATTTACTCAATATTGACTGGTTAGAAAAATTAATCTAGTTTTAAAAAAATAGAAATAAAAATAAAAAGTTTTACCCAAAGCAGGAAATATACTTTCTGCCAACGCTAGCATTGAGTCAAAATATAAAACAACTGAGTGCCTGTCTTAGTGTGTTTGTTGGAGTTATGTTTCTTTAAAGATAATACTTTAAAAGTGTTTGCTTATACGCCAACCCAATCTTTAGATAGTTATTAGAGAAATTAAATTCTTAGGCACTGATGTTGGTATTCTGTGGAAATATGAGTTGGTTGACAATCATATAGATGACCAAAGCATAATGGGATAAAATGCAGACCATTAGCTGCTTAGTGAAAAAATGTATCTATCATGGGAAAAACAGACCAGTTTAGAGAGAGCCAGGGTACCAGATGGAGTTGAAGACTAAACAAATGGAATTCAGCCAGTATTTTAAGGCAAAATCAAAAGGGGAAAGCAACAGTGCGTTTATGACATAAATCAGTGTCTGAGTCTAGCATTTTTATTATTATTATTATACTTTAAGTTCTGGGATACATGTGTATAACATGCAGGCTTGTTACACAGGTATACATGTGCCATCGTGGTTTGCTGCACCCATCAACCCATCATGGACATTAGGTATTTCTCCTAATGCTATCCCTCCCCTAGCTCCCCACCCCCCAAACAGGCTTTGGTGTGTGATGTTCCCCACCCTGCGTCCTGTGTTCTCATTGCTCAACTCCCACTTATCAGTGAGAACATGCAATGTTCGGTTTTCTGTTCCTGTGTTAGTTTGCTGAGAATGATGGTTTCCAGCTTCATCCATGTCCCTGCAAAGGACATGAACTCATCCATTTTTATGGCTGCATAGTATTCCACAGTGATTATATGCCACATTTTCTTTATCCAGTCTATCATTGATGAGCATTTGGGTTGGTTCCAACTCTTTGCTATTGTGAACAGTGCTGCAATAAACATACACACACACACACACACACACACACACACACGTGTGTCTTTATAATAGAATGATTTATAATCCTTTGGATATATACCCAGTAATGGGATTGCTGGGTCAAATGGTATTTCTGGTTCTAGATCCTTGAAGAATCACCACACTGTCTTCCACAATGGTTGAACTAATTTACACTCCCACCAACAGTGTAAAAGCATTCCTATTTCAACACATCCTCTCCAGCATCTGTTGTTTCCTGACTTTTTAATGATCACCATTCTAACTAGTGTGAAATGGTATCTCACTGTAATTTTTATTTGCGTTTGTATAATGACCAGTGAGGTTTAAGGCTGAGTATTGATGATGATCAAGGTTAAGTGGCTGGTAGAGGAGAGGGCTCCTGTGAAGGAGGCTAAGAGAGAATGGTATCAATGGATATAACGTGTTCAGTGAATGCAATGAAGGAAGTTGTTTCAAAAGCAGGCTGTCATCAACAATATAAAATGTTAATTAGAACTAAGTTGAAGAATGAATAAGGGCTTGACAACGTGAGTGACCTTGGTGCCATTAGTAAATGAGGTTCAGTGGATGGATATAAGGGCAAGAACAAGTGGGTGAATATGATTCAGGAATCTGGTTAACCAGGCAATGGAGAATCAGAGGCCAGATGAGATGATGCCAAAACCGAGATATTGGCAACGACAGAAACCACTACTATGCCCAGGCTACAGGCAATAAAGGAGGGAGTTTCTCAGAGCAAAGAGGCAGGATCATCTGAAGCAATCTGTAGACCTAAATTGTGCTTATTGAAGGGGTGACCTTCCCCTCCACAACTGTGGGTATTTCTAGTCGGGTGGGACGAGAGACTGAGAAAAGAAATAAGACACAGAGAAAAAGTACAGAGAAACAACAGTGGGCCCAGGGGACTGGCGCTCAGCATACCAAGGACCTGCACCGGCACCGGTCTCTGAGTTCTCTCAGTTTTTATTGATTATTATTTTCATTATTTCAGCAAAAAGGAATGTAGTAGGAAAGCAGGGTGATAATAAGGAGAAGGTCAGCAAAAAACATGTGAGCAAAAAAATCTATGTTATAATTAAGTTCAAGGGAAGGTACTATGACTGGACGTGCACATAAGCCAGATTTATGTTTCTCTCCACCCAAACATCTCAGTGGAGTAAAGAATAACAAGGCAGAATTGCTGTAAACATGTCTCGCCTGCCACCATAGGGCAGTTTTTCTCCTATCTCAGAATCGAACAAACGTACAATCGGGTTTTATACCGAGACATTCAGTTCCCAGGGGCAGGCAGGAGACAGTGGCCTTCCTCTATCTCAGCCTCCAAATATACAAATCAGACCAGGTACCAAGGTTCTGTTTTGGGTGGAATTACAATTAATGAAGTGTGTGCTAAAAGTAGCCCAAAAGGAGCAGACACCTCAAAATAGAATTCTGGATCTAAATTCCGTAGTTTACCCTTAACTATCCAGGAGAACAGAATGAACTCCCAACCATCTGTTAGAGATCAGCTTCTTTGTGCCTGAAGACTCTGCAAAGGTCTGACATCAAGGAAAGAGATTTTGTGATGATCTTCATCAACCCACATTGCTTCCACACTAATAATTATGGACAGGACTCAACATAATGCAAGGGTAGAAATACACTCCCTAATTCAGATAAAAAATATTTTACAAAGGAAATGCAGGACTTGATTAATATTACTAGCAGATGAAATAATCCATTTGGAATGGATCTTCAGATGTTAGACTACAAAATAAGACTTGATTGAAACTGATAAACAGAAAGTAAGAAATGGACTTGAACCACGTAATTTATTTTCCAAACATAGACAGTGAGAAACAGGGAAATAAAAATAACTAAAATGGCAAAATATTTGAAACACTAGTTTGTTAATTGATAAATTGGTTCTATTATTGTTTTGAACTAATTAAATAATTATAGTCAACAACTATTATAAAGATAAATTTATTTCTAAAAAAATAAAAACATGCACTTATGAACAAAACAGAAAAGAAAACTTGCTAAAAAGTAGGATACATATACATCAAATTTTGTAAATTAAAATGTTGACAAAAATATAAAAGAAGAATATTATTTCTGATACATATTCAGGCACTATTTTTATGTATACTTTCGCTGGCATCTTCTGATAAATAAATGCATTCAATATGGCCTTATATTTTAATTTCTCAAATTAAAATTATCAGCAATCTTCTTGAGTGTGCACTTAAAATCATTGCCATCTTCAAATTACTCTATTTTATAAGCATAATACTTTAAAGCTAGTGATATACTTTCCTTAGAAAACAAATACCTTATAACACTGAGAGCAAATTCTGCTACATGGAGCATATTCTTAATTCTAATATTTTTCATATTGAAATTTGTAAATATTTCAGATTAGATATTTTCATAGGACTTTATATCTCCATTCACAAACTTTAAAAACCTTTCAGAAAAATGTTTCTATAAAGGAAACTTCTAAAATAGATTCACTCTGTCATTTGACTTTAGATTCTGTGAAATGTGTAGCTCTGTTTGTATTTCAGTAAATTGGCATTACAATAATTTATTCAATTAAAAAGAACTCCATCAAAAGATTTCTCTCACAAGTTGAAATATTTCAAAGCACAATTATAAATTTTATAATAAAATTCTGTACACTGTTTTAAAAGTTATTTTAATATTTTTTCTTTTCTCATTTTTTTAAGACTGTGTTTTAGTTTCTTCCAAGTTGCAAGCTTTAACAAGTATTATTAACTAAAAGATTCAAACCTAAGTTTTGATGCACAATTTTTTAATACTTTAAAATGTCTAGCACTTTTTTATTTTGCTTATCTATCATCTATCTATCTATCTATCATCTATCTATCTATCTATCTATCTATCTAACTATCTATGTTTTTATTTGTTTTTTGAGACGGAGTCTAGCTCTGTCACCCAGGCTGGAGTGCAGTGGTGTGATCTCGGCATACTGCAACCTCCACCTCCCAGGTTCCAGCGATTCTCCTGCCTCAGCCTTCTGAGTAGCTGGGATTACAGACGCCTGCCACCATGCCCAGCTAAATTTTGTATTTTTAGTAGAGATGAGGTTTCACCATCTTGGCCAGGCTAGTCTGGAACTCTTGACCTCAGGTGATCCACCTGCCTTGGCCTCCCAAAGTGCTGGGATTACAGATGTGAGCCACTGCACCCGGCATTTATTTTGCTTTTAAATCAAATTTATTTACAAAACAGTCACTTCAGCTTAGTGCAGTGATGTGCACCAGTGGTCTCAACTACTCTAGAGGCTGAAGCAGAAGGATCCATTGAGGCCATGAGTTTGAGGCCAGCCTAGGAAATATAGTGAGATGCCATCGCTAACTTTCTTTTTTAGTCTTATTTTTAGAAAAGAGCCAGCTCACTACCAGTTCTATGCTATTGTAGGACACTGAGACTTATTTTAAAGTGACTTTTTTTCAAATTGAATATAGGCATCAAAGAGAGAATACTTGGCTGTCATGCTTTTTACCTCATACTGCATTATGATAAAAGTTTCATAGTTCATATTCTGTTACTGTGCATACATAAAATATGCTTTTGTCTATAGCTATCCAGTTTATTACAATAGGTAAAACATTACAGGGGTTTTGAGGCAGTTATAAACTGTATATTTATATCACTGCCAATCCAAAGTAAACTTTTCCTTTATAAGATCCTTAATAAAACACATTAAAATATGACGCTGTGTTCTATCAAAATTTACATTTATATTAGCACAAAATTTGCATTCATATTAGTGCAAAACAATTTTTTATTTAATATTAACTTTTTAGACTAATATTTCCACAAATGAAGGATATTTTATCATTGACATAATGAATTCCCAGAAGCTTCAATTCATTTGCATTAATTGGATGAAAAAAGTCAAACAATTATTGAATTAATTGACTTTTTATCTAAAAGTTGTGATGACACTAATATTGGATACTTTTATTATGTATCCTTAACTGTTTGTAAAGTATGTTTTCTGGCTAAGGGAGCCAGTGTATTAAGATCTACTACAGATATCTAGGTGTTCTATTGATGCAAAGGCAGTGGTTGGATAAGAATAAAATAAAATGAGGAAAATTTGTAAGTTAACATACTTTATATTGCCTTCATTTTCACAAAATCTACTAATTATATTATAATGAGGCTTTCCCATGATTTAGTTACACTGATTTATCACCAAATTAAAAATGCCTTGAGTTATTTTAGCTCCCAAAATTGTCTTAATACTTTTAATTTTGAGAAACTTTTTCTGCTAAGATTGCAACTAAATTTCAACAGCATTCATAAGCAATATTTAGATTCAGAAGCTAACCCTGAATCTTCAAATATTTTATATAATTATCATTATTGATTTATTTTAATTTTAGTACGTAGATCAAAATAACTTGCATCAAGAGGATAGCTGATTCTGAATACCTAATCCATGCTGTACTAAATAATTTGTCTTTCAGAATTTCTATACTAGGATTATATAAATAAAACATTTTAAAGAGAAGTATTTTGTCTATATGTTTACATTTTCTTTTATTTAAGACTATACCTTGATCTAAAAAAGCCAGTTTATAGTCTCTTTAAACTTTCTTTTATTTAAGACTATACGTTGATCTAAAAAAGCCAGATCATTGTCTCTTTAAACTTTTATTTTGGGATTAGTTATGTGAATTTTCTTTTCCATGGTATTATGAACGTTTCATGCTGTTGTTCTAATTTTCTTATATTTTATTGGAATATAATTATGTCGAATATTTCATATGCATTGTTTTCTATTAAAAATAATTTTCTCTTTTTTAAAAATGTTTCAACCTATTAAAAATTAAACAATAAAACTTAGACATCCTTTTTTTGAGTGTACATTATCATAACAGATAAAGAGTTCAAATTAAATGACAGAATATTTTTCCCAATAAAGAAAATGATTTGCCACTTTTCATAAAGGGTGTGTCTTATTTCATTGTTCTTGTGAGTACTATGCACTGTTTATTTAAATGTATTTGCTTTAATAGTTTTTAGTAATTCTTCTCTTTGATTGTCTAACAGAAGTGGTAAGCTCATCTTTGATATGTAATTCATCAAGTTGTTTTAACTTTTGGAGCAGTGGCCCCAGCCCTTTTGGCACCAAGGATGGTGCCAAATGTCTCGTGGAAGACAATCTATCCATAGATGGGGTTGGGGGATTGGAGGGTGGAGGGAAGGTTTCCAAGATGAAACTGTTCTACTAATGCCAAATCATCAGGCATTAGATTGTCATACGGAGCTCTGCCTGGGGGTTGGGTACCTTTGTTTTAGAGAATCCAGAATATGTTATAAGGAATATTTAAATTGTTCTAAAGAATGTCATTGTAATTGGCACAATTCAATTCAAGTCTCATCTTCTTGTAACTCATTTAAATTTTGGGCTATTTATGGAACGAAGAGATCTCTATTTCTAGCAAAAATTCTGGATTGTATTATTTTTATTCTTATTGCTATCATTAAAGTTTCAATTAATGATTTAAATTGCAGTCTGCTTTTTTAATCTTCACATAAGTCAAGGCTTATTTTTTATCAAGGAAAACCCAATGATACAGTCATGAGTTTAAACTTTGTTTTCTTTTGTAGTATAAAAATGTGTAAAATAAGTCTCAGTTGTTTAACATGACTTTATGCTTGTTACAAACTACTTGACCTGCATAATGTTTACTTTTAAAATTTTATGCATGTCATAAAATTATCCATTTTATAGTGGATAATAAAACAAATTTTCTATCCTAAAGAGTAATTCTTTATTTTACCATGTTTTTTAAAATCTATCTTACATGATTTGTCATTCAAAATCAAATTTTATAATAATTTCTACAAAAAATAAAGTTTATATTGTTTTCTGCAAATAGCAAATGATCAGGGCCACAAGAATTATCATTATTATTGGCTAGATGTTAGATATGCATTTTTTTTAAGAACAGCATGGAAATGGTCTTTACTAATAATATGTGTTGAATAACATGGTGTAGCTTTAATTTATTCATATATATAGTAATTGCTACATAGAGGAAACTGCTCTATTTCATTATTGTCAGTTTTTGAAAATCATTCCAAACCACCTTTCTAAATATTTTATCTTCTTTTATTCTGCTTTTGAGTTTCCTGAGTTCCAACTTTGTAATTTTGAGATACATTAAGATTCCACATTTCACTCATTCCCAATGATCTAAATGTTTTTAAAAATAAAACTGAACTGTACCTATGTTTAAGAAAAGTAATATGCTTTCTTAAAAGTGAAAGACTGATTTACTACTCTATGGTTTCAGAGATCCAGAATCTTTCTATTTTGGTGCTAAAAAAAATATGCCCTGTATGTTGTGATCCAAATGGAAGCATCTACACTGAAAACAACAGGATGTATGAAACTGATTTTTCAAACATGAATAAGATGTAAAACCCCACAATAAGTTCAAACCGAGAATCTCCACTTACATCCAAAATTTCCTCATGTGTTTGTTCCTGTCTGTAAGTGACAATTCAGAAAACATGGTTTCTTCTGCATAGTCTTATGTCTGGGGGTGGGGAAAAAAAAAAAACCTTTAGGTGTTTTCTATAATAAGGAAAATAGAGAAAGAGAAAACAAAGATCCATAGTAAACAATTAGTACTCTCTTGTCAGCTTGGGGTTCTGATGATTGAAAAGTTTGCTTTGAAGTCATAACCATATAATAACCTTTAATGCATCCTTTTTTCATATACATTCAGATTCTTCTTTTTCCATTTGAATCTATTGCTTCAAACTGCCTTATTTAAAATTAACTTCATACTAAAATATCCTGTTTTTCCTGGAATACAGCTTCTGAATACGTTGTGAAATATCTTTTTAATTAATCATTACGTATTTAAGATTTGTATGTAGAATTTTATGTATGTTTATGTGTAATGTATCCTTATAGATGTCCATATATATGTATAAGTTTCATATGTATTATTTTTTCAAGTTTAAGAGTTTTATAATAAATATTTAGGAATTATCATAAAATGAGTATAAAATATTTGATATTTATGTGAAATATAATTCATATTATATGCATAGTTCATATCACACACATACACAGAAAATTATAGCTAATCTGGAGTTTCTACTGTTTTTGTGGCAATGAAAATCTTGTATTATAAAATCAGCTATATTTTCAGATTTATTAGCATTGATTATATCCTGTATTATTTAATGCATTTTAAATCTTCCACATATCACTTGGTATGCTGCACTTCTCATTTCTAATTATGTTTTTATTTGTACTTTTGCACTTTTGTTAATGAGATTGTCAGCTGCTTATCTATTTTATTTTCAAAAGCAAGCACACTGCTGCATTTACTTACCAAGTCTATTTTGTTGAGACTCATATATAACACTGCTGTGTTGTTAAGGTAAACAATATGAATCACAAACATTGAGCTTTTGGTTGTTATGTTTGTAAGGTTATTTGACCCTGGGATATAAGTCCATGAATGCAAGGTTGTTTGACCACAAGATGTAAGTCCATAAATGATAGCATAGTGTCTCATTAGATAGGAATGTGCCTGTTTTTAATCCTTACAAAAAGAAATAGTAGATGTGTTATACATAATGTAGGTCTTTTTTCAGGGAAGTATATGGAAGTAATCTCCTGAAAATGCAAATGTTCTTAAGTTGTTTTCAGTATTTGGAGAAATTTGCATATGGCATTTTTTTTTTTCTGAAAGGTAGTGAGGAATAAGTGGGTGGATTGTGTTAGGCACGACATCTCATCCCAATGGTGACATTTTTTGACACTCATTGGGCAAAGCATGTATAGACAAAACCCAAGGATGTTTTTATAAAGGACTCTAAGATCTGGTTGAGGTAGGGTTGGAGTATAAAAATGAAACTGAGAAGACCTATATAGGTGATTCAGGGGATAGAACACAGAGCAGGGCATAGAATTGGAGAAGAGGGTGCTTCTATTATATGTAGAAAACAGCATAATTCTGGTAACTCAAGGAATTGCAGAATTATTGGTGCAGGGTCTAATAAAGAATGCCATCAACAGAGAAGAAAAATAATCCTTGAATTAAGGTAAGAGAAGAGACCTGATACAAGTAACACCTTCATGCAGGGCAGAACAAAAATGGTGGTGAGCACATAGTGCCACTCTATGTGAGTGTTATATTACCAAGGAGTCAGTGGAAGCAAAAACAAACAAACAAAAGAGGTTGCAACTTATCTGTTACTCTTCACATCTAAAGTTGAGGTTTTTGTCAACTCCTCTTGAATCTAGTCAGGCTTAAATTAATCTAGTGACTGCTTTGACTGCTTTGATTACTGCGGTGTGGCAGAAGCAATGCTAAGTGACATCCAAGGAAAGATCATAAAAGGCTTTGGGGTTTCTACTTCATCTCTTGGCAAACTTGTGCTTTGGAACAATCCTTCTGATGGCTCTTCTTGCTGCTCCTTTTCTGGCAACCCGTAGCAGGTTTTGAGAAGTCCAAACCACGCAGGAAAGCTAAATGTAGGTAATCTGATCAACTGTCCCAGCTAAGTCCAGTCTTGGAATAATCCCAGCCCAAGCATCACACATGTTAAAGAAAAAGCCTTAGGTTAATTATAGCAGTAATTAACATAGCTCATGGCACTCGCAGGCATTTGAGTCAACTTAGATGAGAACCCAGATACAGTGGAGCAGGAACGAGCTATCTAAATTCCTGACACAGAGAAACCATGACTGTAATGAAAGAATGTGTTATAGATTGAGGTAGTTTTTATGCAAAAAAAAGGTAATCAGAACAAAACACATAAACGTATATGTATACCACTAGAAAGATGGAAGTATTTGCTATAGGGTGAACATAGAATGTATTGAGCAAGAACAGAAAATCTACATTATCAATATAATTAGCCTTTTTATCTGGTTTAAAATGCTGTGATACAAATAGATACATACATGCATGCATACATAGATTAAATATATAGAAACATAAATAAGCAGAGAATACTACCTCTATGCATACTTAGGTTCCCCCCACCCCACCCCCCGCCCCGAGACGAGGAGTTTCACTCTTGTTGCCCAGGCTGGAGTGCAATGGCGCGATCTTGGCTCACGGCAACCTCCGCCTCATGGGTTCAAGCGATTCTCCAGCCTCAGCCTCTCCAGTAGCTGGGATTACAGGCATGCATCACCACACCCGGCTGATTTTGTATTTTTAGTAGAGATGGGGTTTCTCCATGTTGGTCAGGCTGCTCTCGAACTCCCAACCTCAGGTGATCCGCCTGCCTCGGCCTCCCAAAGTGTTGGGATTACAGGCGTGAGCCACCATGCCCAACTGTTTAAAAAAGCTATTTTTAAAAAGTCCCAAGTAGCTGGGACTACAGGCACATGCCACCACGCCCAACTAATTTTTTGTATATTAGTAGAGACAGGGTTTCACCCTGTTGCCCAGGCTGGTTGGGAACTCCTGAGCTCAGGCAATCCGCCCTCCTTGGCCTCCCAAAGTGCTGGGATTACAGGCATGAGCCACTGCGCCCAGCCTGTTTATTATTTTAAGTTACAGTTCTTTGGTGTGATTTGATAAGCAACAATAGATAACCTACAATAAATAATATATGTAGTATAGTACATACACTATGTGTGTTTCTGTAACTACTTCTTTTGCTCATTATAATGTTTTTAAGGTAAATTTTTCAATATTTATCCATGTTATGGCATATTCCACTAATTAATTTATTGTTATCACAAAGTAGAATTCCATTGTATGAAAATATAATTTTAAGATTATTGGCAGTTATTGAAATCTTATTTGTTTCCCTTTTTCGGTTTATTATGAATAAAGCTGATGCAAATTTCTCGTGGACACACATTTTCATTTTTTCAGGAAAACGGTATCTTGGTCATGACATAGAAATATTTTTTATTTTTAAGATATTGCCAAAATCTTCTCAAAAGCTTTAAAACTTTACACTCTCATTAATAAAATATGAGAGTTCTATTTGTTATACATCCTCACCAATATTTTCCATTGTCAGTCTTCTTGATCATAGCTTTTTTAGAATTGCTTTATGGCTTAATTTTCATGTCTGATAACTAATGATGTTCAGCAACTTTTAAGGGGCTTTCTAAAGATTTGTATATCTTATTTAGTCAAATATAATCAATTTTTATCTGCATATTTATCTATTAAATTCCCTTGTTCTTTCTAGGGGTACTTGCACATTTTGGACATGAATGTTTTTTCATATATGTATACAATAATTATTTTCTATCAGTGTGTTTTATCAATTCACTTTTTCTTTTGATGACCAGATAAGTTATCCTTATTCATATGTTTACCAATTGCGGTATTTCTCTCTACACATTTGGATTTCATATTATATAACTTCAGAATGAAAAACTACTTTATCAATTATTGCAATGCAACTTTGCTGGAGAAAAATTAAATTATATCTTTAAAAATTATTTTTAAATATCTTTTTATTTTGCCTTCTTTTTGCAATATGTTTTTTCTAGATATAACATTTCAGGTTTATAGTTTACTTTGTCCTCAGCACTTTAAATATGTTATTCCATTATCTCCTTTGTCTTCTTTCTCTATTTTATTCTAGTAAGATTTTAGTGTCATTTTGCTTATTTGATTTTTTAAAGTGTGCCATTTCCCAAGAGCCCAGCAGTTTTTATGATTTCTTCCTTTATTTAATGTACAGTCCTTTGACTATAATATGCTTAGTTTAGTTTTCTGTGCATTTATCCTGATTGGGATAGACTGAGCATCTTAGATCTCACAGTTAAGGCAGTACAATATTTTGGGAAAATTCTTGGCTACTGTTTCCTCAAATGTGTCTTATGCTCAGTTTTTTCATTGCTTTCCACCTGGTATTCCAGCAACATGCATGCTAAACCATTTTACATTTTCCACAGGTCTTGTGTATTCTGTTGATTTTTTAATTGTTTCTTATCATTTTTATTTTTGTTATTTTTTTGTTTTACTCTTCAATTATAGATAATTTATAGACTGGCTTTAATTTGAATGATACTTTTTTATATTGAATCTAATTCACTGTGAATTTCAATGACAGATGTTTTTATTAACATTATTTCATTTTTCCGTTCTAACATTCCCATTTGCTTTTTATATCTTCATTTTATGTGTTAAAAATTGTCATCTGTTTATCCATGTAACTTTCTAATAGATCATTTATCTAATATTTTGCATAGTTATTTTAAATGTTTGGTTTGATTATTTCAGAATATTCTTCTATTGATCTTTTTCTCTTTTGATTATGGGTTATGTTTTTGTACTTCTTTCAAATTTCACAATCTTATTTATATGTAGGTCAGTGTCTATAAAAACAAACACTAAAGGTTGATACTAATAATGTGACTTCCAGAAACTGTCTGTCATACTCCATATTCTAACAGGCTACTAGATTGTATGATCGATAACTAGTCAGCAGCTTAGTTGTATCTGGCCTTTTTACAGCTGTAGTTAGATTTAGCCTACTACCCGTATTTTAGGAGAATTATTAAGACCTTCCCTCTAACAGGAATGGAATCTCAGGACTCTTACTCTGATATGATTTTTTTCTACTATGGAAGATTTCACTTTGATTTTTAATCCACTGCCAGATATTTGGGTGTGTGTATATTGTTCACGCTCCACTCCTGTCCCTCTTTTTAAGTTGCTCAAATATTTTGTTGTTACTGCAGTTCCCTGTTCTTGGCCTTTAGCAGGCCGTTGCCTGACACTCAGGATAAGCCACTCTCGTTTGGTGCTACGTCTCAGCTCTCCTGCCCTGCCCTGTGGTTTGGGCTGTTGCCTTATATCTGAGAAGTCCACTGCACATTCTAGAGAGCTATTTTGTCTTTACTAACAGGTTCTCAGCTATTGACATGCTGTCTGTATTTACTCAAGGAAGAATATCAGAGTTACTGTTGGTAATTAGAAGGAGGTTCACTTGGTAACTAGGAATCCTCAAGGTTCTAAGTCATCACTTAGCCTATGCATGGCCATTACAAGTTTCATAAAACTTCATCTGGTTTCTTTTTCCCTTGTGCATTCAGGACTCTGTCCATTATGCTCCCAAAATGAAAATAGCAAAGAGACTCTTATCTCCTATAAAGGGGCATTCTTTTTCTAGAATTTACTTTACTTAAATTTGTAAATGTTTAGTTCTGTGAAAGGAAGGAGATAGCTCTGATTTGGTAACCTATATTGTAGGGAAAAGAAAGAGACACCAGACTGTTACTGTGTCTATGTAGAAAGGTAAGACATAAGAGACTCCATTTTGAAAAAGACCTGTACTTTAAATAATTGCTTTGCTGAGATGTTGTTAATTTGTAGCTTTGCCCCAGCCACTTTGACCCAACCTGGAGCTCACAAAAACATGTGTTGTATGAACTCAAGGTTTAAGGGATCTAGGGCTGTGCAGGACGTGCCTTGTTAACAAAATGTTTACAAGCAGTATACTTGGTAAAAGTCATCGCCACTCTCTAGTCTCAATAAACCAGGGGCACAATAGACTGCGGAAAGCCGCAGGGACCTCTGCCCTTGAAAATGGGGTATTGGCCAAGGTTTCTCCCCATGTGATAGTCTGAAATATGGCCTCATGGGATGAGAAAGACCTGACCGTCCCCCAGTCCGGCACCTGTAAAGGGTCTGTGCCGAGGTGGGTTAGTAAAAGAGGAAAGCCTCTTGCAGTTGAGATAGAGGAAGGCCACTGTCTCCTGCCTGCCCCTGGGAAGTGAATGTCTCGGTATAAAACCCGAGTGTACATTTGTTCAATTCTGAGATCAGAGAAAAACCACCCTATGGTGGGAGGTGAGACATGTTTGCAGCATTGCTGCTTTGTTATTGTTTACTCCACTGAGATGTTTGGGTGGAGAGAAGCATAAATCTGGCTTACATGCCCGTCCAGTCATAGTTCCTTCCCTTGAACTTAGTTATGATGTAGATTCTTTTGCTCACATGTTTGTTGCTGACCTTCTCCTTATTATCACCCTGCCCTCTTACTACATTCCTTTTTGCTGAAATAATGAAGATAATAATCAATAAAAACTGAGGGATCTCAGAGACCAGTGCCAGTGCAGGTCCTTGGTATGCAGCCCCTGGGCCCACTGTTGTTTCTCTATACTTTTTCTCTGTGTCTTCTTTCTTTTCTCAGTCTCTCATCCCACCCGACTAGAAATACCCACAGGTGTGGAGGGGCAGGCCACCCCTTCATCTGGTGCCCAATGTGGGGCTCGAACCCACAACCCTGGGATGAAGAGTCCCATGCTCCACCGACTGAGGTAGTCGGGCTTGATTTCATGGTTATAGTGTAATTGATGGTCATATGAGTTACTAAATACTAACTAAAACCAAAATATTTTTAATAAACAGTCAATTTTACTTTGTTTGCAAAGAAAAGTATCCAATATATATTTTTTTAAAATTCTGTTTGCCCATTGTAATACTGTCCATCATATGTAAAATGCTTGTGTTTAGATGTCAAAGTGTCTTCTTGAAATATGCATTATTACCTTCAAAACTGTAAATATATATCATTTAAGTTCTTACCTTGTATAGTCAGTTCAACCTTGAAAAATATTTCTTTCTATATTTTTTCTAAACCATTGTAGACTTTTGATAAATCTGGAATAAGATATTAATTGACTATTACTAGAATTGTCTAAATGCTAAATCAATTAATTCATATATTTATAACAAACTTTTTGTAAAGAAAAATTTAACATTTTCACAATGTTAGAAAAGAATGAAGTGAATAAAGAAGATAAATATTAAGCTTTGTAGCATATATATGCCCTTTTAAAATATAAGCATTTATATTTTCATCAACTGGTTAAAATTAATAAAAGAACCTGAAGTTTTCTATTTTATATCTAGTTTTAACTTCTTTACATTCATTTGTCTTTTTATGAAGAAACTTTGAGTTGGTATTTATCTGTGAAGTACATGCATTTGTTTTAGGATGACATAAAGTATGAAATCACTGAGAAAGTTGTGAAGGCAAAGTATTGCGTCTTAAGGTAATCTTTTGCATTGAATAATTTTCCTTAATACAAATGAAATTTAAAAGTTCTGAGAGAGGATAAAAATTGTAAAATTCGAGTGTGTGTATTTTTAATTCAATTATTTATTTTTCTTCATTACGATCCAAATGTACAGAAAAGTTAAAAGAATAATAACAAATACACACACATCCTTCACACAAATGAATAAATGGTTAAAACCTTGCCAAACTTGTTTCACTGGTGTATATCTTTCCTTCTGGCAGATCACTGCAGACATCAGAACCTCACACTCCAAAATACTTCACCATCCACCTCTCAGAGGTAAAGGGTATTAGCTCCTATGAAAATACAACCAAATTACCATGAATTGCCTACAAAAGTAAACAGTGGTGCAATGATATAATCAAGCAAAATATCTATTCTCAAATTTCATAGTTGGCTGCACAATTTCCTTTACCTTTTAATTTTTTAATCCATTTTCATTCCTTGAGTTTTTCTGTTATAGGTCTTTATTTAGTCTTCCCCAATCTAAATAATTTCCATTACTTCTCTGTGTTCTTCATAACATTAAAGGCAAAGAGTCCAGGCCAGTTACCTTGAAGAGCATCTTAGAGTGTCTTGTTTTGGGAATTAAATTTTCTTTTTTTCTATATTCTGGTCAATAATTTCTGCAAAGATACTGCATTGCTGATGTTGCTTAATTCCTGCTGTACAGTATTCATGTCAGGCTGCCCATATTGGTGATGGCAAATTTGAGCACTGAGTTAAGGAAGAGACAGATTACATTATTATGAATATATTTTTCAATTTGTAGTGAAGAAACAAAATATTGGATTATTCTTTGAGACCATGTAAATAACTTGTTCCTCAACAACCATTCACATAACTTAGCATTTCTTGATATTTTTTGCTTGAACTAATAATTAAATTGCGTTTAAAATATGATGATTTTCAAAAATGCCATCATTTGTTGTATAAAAATACACTGGTTTAATAAAAATTAACTGGTTTATTACTGCAAAGAACAAACTTT
Organism: Homo sapiens; assembly: GCF_000001405.40. Classification (NCBI taxonomy): domain Eukaryota; kingdom Metazoa; phylum Chordata; class Mammalia; order Primates; family Hominidae; genus Homo; species Homo sapiens. Next base: position 26,200,249 of record NC_000005.10, read on the forward strand.
TCTCACTTATTTTTTGTATCTCTTCTCCCGGATTCAAGTAAATGTTTATTTAATTACACAATTTCAATTCATTACTGATTTATCTTTTTATTCTCCAATTGTTCTCACCATGATCAATGGGAACTTTTTCAATTTAGTCTTATATCCTATTTTTTGGAATGTTATTGAAATATGAAAGATGTACAGAAAAGTACACAAATAATTGTATTTATACATTTTCACAAAGAAGACAAATGCTTTTATCTGTTAATCAGATTAATAAAAATAAGTTTAAAAAACTATAGCAATTCTCTTCATGTTCCCTCCTAATTACAATTTTCCTGCTGGAGAGGGAGGGTTCCTGATTTTTAAGTTTTCTGGGGTGAACTGAAGAAGCCACCATATCTCACAGTCCTAGCAATCATTCTTAACATAATAGACAAGTGAAATAATCAAATGATTCTCTAAAACGTTTGCTTCAGAAGTAATTATTCATAATGCCACTACATGTCCATAGTTGCAGTTATCTTACTTCTCACTGGCTGTAACTAACATGAAGTCTAAAGATACATGCAAATAAATTACTAAATATCATGTCTAAGGATCTATTTCTGTGGCTACTCCTGGACCATAGGCTGAGCCCCAGCCAGGTCCTATCCAAAAGTAGAAAAGAAGTTAGATATGTCAAAACATAGAAGTTAATGTGAGGATATAATATACATTAATGGAAAAAAGAAATGCGAATAATAGACACAAGGTGATTGAAGATGCCATTTCTGGGAGTATCAGAGGAAAGTTGGAGGTGGTAATTAATAACTTCTACCTGCACGAAGGGCAATTTATGTGGCAAACATTTGAGGAAAGCAAACAAACAGGATGGAGCAAGTCTTTTCTCTTCCTTGATTCCTTCCTGTGACTCCTTTCTTAATTATAAAACTCCTTTCTCAATTATAAAGTCAGCTGGTATAAAGAAAAAGGTAATTTTCAGAGAACCAAACATAGCGTCAAAGAGTAGCTTAATGACTCTGATTTCTAACATTGTGGATTAGATTTCTCAAGCATTGAACATTAATATACGTATAGGAATATATATATATATATTATATACACATATATGTGTGTATAAATATATTATATAATATATATACACACATATATATAACTATGGCCAGGAATGACATTTGATTTAATGTAGAATGCTCCTCTCTTATGTAAGAAGAGTTAAATTTGTTTTTTTGCTTTATTGAGGTATAATTGCTATACAAAAAACTTTACACATTTAATGTATATATCTTGATGAGTTTAGACATCTGCATATACATGTAATACTATAGACATCTATATCAAAAAAGAGAAGAGAGAGCCCAGAAATAATCCCATGTACATATAAGAAACTAATCTTTTACAAGGATGGCAAGAACACACAATGGGGAAAGGAAGTGTGATCCACAAATGGTATTGGAAAAACTGCATATCCACATGCAAAAGAATGAACATGATGCCTATCTTATACCATACACAAAAATCAACTCAAAATGCAGTAAAGACTTAACTGGAAGACCCGGAACTGTAAAGCTCCTTGAAAAAACACAGGTGAAAATTCTTGACATTGATCTTGACAATAGTTTCTTGGATTCCACACAAAAGCACAGGCAGCAAGCACAAATATGGACAAGTGAGGCTACATTAAATTAAAAAGCTTCTGCACAAGACTGGAAACAAGCAACAAAGTTAAAAGCTATTCTGTGGAATGGGAGACAATCTGTGCAAACCATACATTTAATGAGAAGTTAATATTTATAATACGTAAGACTCTCCTACACCTCAATAGCAGAAAACAAAACAAAATGAAACAACCTGATTAAAAATTAGGCAAAAGATATAGATAGACGTTTCCCCAAGGACATTTACAGATGGCCAACAGTTATATGAAAAGATGCTCAATATCACTAATCAGGGAAATTCCGATCAAAACTCACATTTGCTAGGGTGCCTATAATGAAAGAAAAAAGACAAGTGGTACACTTTGGGAGGCCGAGGCTGGCAGATCACCTGAGGTCAGGAGTTCGAGACCAGCCTGGCTAACATGGTGAAACCCTATCTCTACTAAAAATACAAAGATTAGCTGGACCTGGTGGCTGGCGCCTGTAATCCCAGCTTCTCGTTAGGGTGAGACAGGAGAATCGCTTGAACTCGGGAGGCGGAGGAGGCAGTGAGCCGAGATCATGTCACTGTACTCCAGCCTGTGTGACAAGATCAAGATTCCATCTCAAATAAAAAAAAAAATACAAGTGGTACAAGCATTTGGAGAAATTGGATCACTTATATACAGTGTTGGTGGGAATGTAGGATGGTGCAGTCACTATAATAAACATTATAAAGGTTCCTCAAAAAGTTAAAATAGAACTACCATTCTATCCAGCAATCTCATTTCTGAGTATACATCCAAAAATTGCAATCAGGATCTGGAAGAGATATACATCAATGTTCATTGCCACATTATTTTTGTTGCAGGACTATCTTTAATATCCAAGATATAGAAACAAACCAAAAGTCCGTCAATAGATAGATGGATAAAGAAAATATGTTACCTACAACATAACATTACTCAGCCCGCCATTTGTGCCTTATCCTACCATTCGTGTCAGCATGTATGAAACTGGAGGGCGTTATGCTAAGTGAAATAAGCCAAGCAAAGGAGGACAAATACTGTATGATTCCACTTACATAAAATATCTAAAATAGTTAAACTCATAGAAGGAGAGAATAGAGTGGAGGTTGTCAGGGGCTGGGGGAGGAGGAAGTGGGCAATTATTCTTCAGTGAATATAAAATATCTGTTATATAAGATGCCATGGTATGAATAATGTCCTCCCAAAATTTATATGTTGAAACACAATCCCCAAACCGATAATATTAATAGGTGGGGTCTTTAGAGGGGCTCACTCTGCCTTCATAAATGGGATTAATGACCTTATAAAAGATATCTAATGGGCCGGGCACAGTGGCTCACGCCTGTAATCCCAGTAATTTGGCAGGCCGAGGCGGGCAAATCACGAGGTCAGGAGATCGAGACCATCCTGGCTAATACGGTGAAACCCCGTCTCTACTAAAAATACAAATATATATATATATATATATGTATTAGCCGGGCGTGGTCGCGGGCACCTGTACTCCCAGCTTCTCAGGAGGCTGAGGCAGGAGAATGGCGTAAACTCCGGAGGCGGAAGTTGCAGTGAGCCGAGATTGTGCCACTGCACTCCAGCCTGGGTGACAGAGAGAGACTCCGTCTAAAAGAAAAGAAAAGAAAAGAAAAAAAAAAGATGTATAATGGAGCTGTTCCTCTCCTTTGCCATTCCACCTTCTGCCATGTGAAGACACAGCAACAAGACACCATCTTGGAAGCAGAGAGAGACCCTCACTAGACACTGTATCTGCCAATACTTTGATCTGGGACTACCCAGTCTCAAGAAACGTCTGAAATGAATTTCTGCTATTAATAAATTCCCAGTTTGTGGTATGTTTTTATACCAGCAGGAGTGGACTAAGATTCAAGATGAATAAATTCTAGAGATCTCTGTATGATATAGTGCCAACAGTTAACAATAGAGTGTTGTGTACTTTAAAATATGTTGAGCACAGGCGTGGTGGCTCACGCCTGTAATCCTAGCACTTTGGGAGGCTGAGGTGGGTGGATCACCTGAGGTCAGGAGTTCAAGACCAGCCTGGCCAACATGGTGAAACCCCGTCTCTACTGAAAATACAAAAAAATTAGCTGGGCCTGGTGGTGCATGCCTGTAGTCCCAGCTACTCGGGAGGCGGAGAGAGGAGAATCACTTGAACCCAGGAGGCAGAGGTTGCAGTGAGCCGAGATTGTGCCATTGCATTCCAGCCTGGGAGACACAGAGAGACTTCATCTAAAAAAAAAAAAAAAAAAAAAAAAAAGCATATATATATATATATATATACACACACACACACACACACACACATAGAGAGAGAGAGAATAAATCTTACATTAAGTGTTCTCACCAAAAGAAAAAAAAAAAACTTCACAAAATAACATGGAAATTTTTGGAGGTGATGGATGTGTACTTCTTTCTGAAACCTTTCTTACAGTACCCTAGTCAAAAGGTTACTTTTTTTTTTCCTTAACAACTGATAATTTCTTATGCTCTCATTGTTCAGGTTCAGAAGTGGAAGAGTTTGGTTCTGTGTCCCTATGCAAATCTCATCTCGAATTGTAATCCCCATGTGTTAGGGGAGTGGACTGGTGGGAGGTGATTGAATGATGGTGACAAACGTCCCCCTTGCATAAATTTGAGACCCTTACTTTGGAACTCAGAATTTCTCAACTGAGTAAAAATATGTCATAAGGCATGACTCAAGCTCAAGCTTGACAAGTGCAGATGGAATTTACAAAGCTAGACTGTCTCTTTTCTGTCGTTTTTTTCTGTATTTGCGGGTGTTATTTGCTAGTATCTTTCCTTCAGATTCGCAACTAGAGCTATATTTCAACATAAATGATTTTTTGTATTTCACCAGGAATCTATATTCATTAAGCTACTATAGTATGGGACACCTGAAGGCAGAATATGGCTTATAGAAGGAGACTAAACTCTGTAGAAGAGTAGAAAGTTCAAAGACAAGCATACTATGCCTTTGGTTAGCAGAGAAAGTAGATGATTTAATTCTCAAACATTTGTTATGAATTTAGAAAGAGCTTTCCTTTCTTTTTTGAGAGATCATGGTAAATTGTTGCCATTAAGAGCTCCCAGATCCTCAAAGGTCAAAGCTAAGGAAATTTAATAAGGGCGAGGCCTAGGAGTCTTGAAATTATTCAAGTTTATCTCTATTTCATCTTGTCTGTAATTTGTATATGGAAAACAATTTGGAATGTTGGGCATGTTTTTCTCTTTCTAGATGTTTCTCATGATTTTCCTTCTGTGCCTTTGCCCATTGCTTGCGAAAGCAGAGAAAGTGTTCTCTATTTTGGAAATCTGCAGACATTTCTTTCCAATTTCCTCCATCCTATCTAGGCAGGAATCTATTTTCTGTCTGGCAACATGCTTCTCCTGTCCAGTGTTTGAAGAATATGTTTTCTCTCTGTGAATTCTCTCCTCTTGCCATGTGGAAATAATGCTGTATTTGGCATCAAAATTCTATTTGCCTTCTGCCCATTCTGCTTTCTGAACTGTGCACAGAGGAATCTAAATATTTCCGTAGAAGAAAGAGAAGATGGAGTCAAATGAAACATATTAGAATCAGAACCTATTACACCAGATACAGTCCCTCACGACAAAGCTGTCTAGTAAATAAAGTTTTCTCTTTATCATGTCTTCCTCCCACAGAGAATCTTAATTGTGTTCTTTCAGACAGTAATGGTTACCTGCAAAGCAGCATCATGCTAAGAAAATGACATTTTTCTCAGTGTCTCTAAGTGTTTGAGGAAAGGATTTAGATATTGGCTGTATATCTGCCTCTTTCTATTATTTACCCTATTTTATTTCTTACTGGGCTTACCCCTAGATCAGGTGGAATCATTCCCAAAATAAGATGAACTCCACAACAGGTGGCCAGATGGTGAGAAGCAGGAAAGTGCCCGAACAGTTGACTTGTTGAGTTTTCAGTTTTTGCATATAACCATCTGGTTTAACAAGCCATAGTTCCAGCTGAAAACAGTTTCTCTTTTAAGATATTATTGCTCCATTATCTGGACATAACAAATGAGAAGAGGTTTTCTGTTATGAGTTTTCCACAGTGGGAAATAGATTAGGAATAAAGCTGCTATGTTACCAGTACCTACTAAGTGTAATTATGAAAGATAATTATTTTGTCTCATTCTCCTTACACTCCTGAACTGAATTTGCCTGGAGGAGGAAGGAAAATGAGAGCTAACTGATCATACATGCTTGCCTGACTGGACTGGCACCAAACAATGTTACTTAAAAAATTCCAAGGCTCCTAGGCCTCGCCCTGATTAAATTCTCCTTAGCTTTGACCTTTGCAGACCTGGGAACTCTTAACAGGAACAATTCACCATGACCTCTCAAAAAAGAAATGAAAGCTCTTTCTAAATTCATAACAAATGTTTGAGAATTAAATCTTCTACTTTCTCTGCTAACCAAAGGCAGAGTATGCATCTCTTTGAACTTTTTACTCTTCTACAGAGTTTAGTCTCCTTCTGTAAGCCATAGTCTGCCCTCAGGTGTCCCACACTCTAGTAGATTGATGAATTATATAGGCCCGGTGAAACAAAAAAATCATTTATGTTGAAATATAGCTCTAGTTGGGAATCTGGAGAAAGGATACTAGCTAGTAACACCTGCAAATACAGAAAAAAGGTAGAAAAGAGGCAGTCTAGATTTGTAAATTCCATCTGTACTTGTCAAGTGTGAGCTTGAGCCATGCCTTATCATTCGAGATAGATTTTTACTCAGTTGAGAAATTCTCAGTCCAAAGTAGGGGTCTCAAATTCATGTCCTTTCTTTTCAGGTATTTTTAAAAAAATTTTTATTTGTTGCATAACTAGAAAATATGTTCTGATCAGCAAAATCAAACAATCAGCTTTTTCCACTTTTTTTCTTTCCTTTTTGCCAGCACACTGTACTCAGAGACATTTAAAGCATTCATTCATCAGTTGACAACATGATCAACTCAGTCTCAAAGAAGTTCACTGGTATCCCCTAAATGTCAATAACTTATTATAACCTTATTACCACACATAGATTTTCAAAGAGGGCCTTGGTTATTATATCAGTAGTAAGTGGTTGCAATTTTAGATGTGATTGATATGTTACTTGTGCACATTTGCAATCCTGGACACCTTTAGTTTGACAAGCCAAGTCCCCACATGAATTGGGAGTAGATTGCAACCTTTGAATTGATATTTTTCAAGAAATAAACTTTTATATAACAAATTTATTTCCTACAGAATCACCATCCCAATGGAATGGCAGGAAAAAAAAATTAAACCACACTTTTCTATGTGCCATCCTGCCCCAGAGCAGGTGATGCTCTGACACGTGGACTAAAATGTGCGAAGGCATCAGGAATTGGGATCTAGAGCTTTTCATAGTATCTGTATTCTTATAGAATATATTTTTAATATCTGTAATCGTCAAATGTCTTTTAAACCTGCAAGACTAAGGGCTATCTTCTATTTGCACTCGATGTTTAGAACATCTCAGTAAATTTCAGTTGCATGGTTTATTACCTTTGTTCTGCATTTCTGTTTTCTGAAAATGAGAAATGTATAATGTTGCCTCTCTGTGAAGTAAATTATAAAACCATGCAATGGATTTATACACATAATAAATACACAAAACTAATTAGTTTTATCTGAACCTATATGAAAATTATTTGATATTTATACAAATTTATTTTTAACAAATATTTGAGGATAAATTTCGATTAAAATCATTTTGGCATATATATGCCAAAGTAATTTTAGATTTATATTTGTGGGAAAATTTAATTTGTCAGACTTGTCTGACCCAAAGTGTCAAACTAAAAATTTAAGTATCTAAAAAAAAAAAAGGCTAAATTTACTATGAAAACATCTGATGTTCAAAATAACTAGGTTTAAAGCATAAGCTTCCTATGAATAGCTAATAGAAAATATATTAATATACTTAAATTTTATATAAATTATTACACTGAGGACTCTAAGATGTTCAGGTTTAAATAAGTTATACTATTTGATTGCAGTGTGTTGATGTCTTCTGGGTAAATTAAGAAGGATTACATGTAAAAATATAAATATAAACATGAAAATATAGTTATATTCATTTGGAGCCAGCTATATTTTTTAGGACATTTAATTGAAGAAGAAGAATTTGGCTCACTTGGAAAATTTCCTAACTTTGATTTGTAGAGAAATGTAAACAGTAGAAATCATATGAAACTCTGTTAATTATTCAAAACCAAATATGTGTATTTTAGAGAGTATTAAGAAAAACAGGCTGGTGCGGTGGCTCACTCCTGTAATCTCAGCACTTTGGGAAGCTGAATAGGTCAGATCACGAGGTCAGGAGATCAAGACCAGCCTAGCCAAAATGGTGAAACCTCATCTCTACTAAAAATACAAAAATTAGTCAGGTGTGGTGGCAGGCACCTGTAATCCCAGCTACTTGGGAGGTTGAGGCAGGAGAATCGCTTGTGAAGGTTGCAGTGAACTGAGATTGGGCCACTGCACTCCAGCCTGGGCAACACAACGAGACTCCATCTCAAAAAAAAAAAAAAAAAAAGAGAGAGAGAGCATTCAGAAAAACAAGGTAGAAATAATATGTAGGTATGTATGTATATATACGTGTGTTTTTATATGTTTGCTTGGTTAACAGAAAATGTAATGCGGAGAAAATATACCATTATCTTTAAAGTAAATTTGGTTTACCATCTCAAAAAATACAAAAGTTCATCAGAGACTATTATGAACACTTCCATGCAGCAAACTAGAAAACATAGAGAAAATGGATAAATTTCTAGAAACACACAACCTCCTAAGATTGAATCAGGAAGAAATTAAAATACTGAACAGATCAATATTGAGTCCCCAAATTGTCTCAGTAATAAAAAAACCTACCAATAATAATAAAAAAAGCCCAAGACCACGTCGATTCACAGCAGAATTCTACCAGACATCCAAAGAGCTGGTACCAATTCTACGCAATCTATTCCAAAAAATTAAGTAGGATGAAATCCTCCCTAACTCATTCAATAATGCCAGCATCACTCTGATACCAAAACCTGGCAAAGACAAAACAAAAAAAGAAATCTACAGGCCAATATAGCTGAATAACATAGACACAAAAATCCTCAAAAAAAAAAAAAATACTAGCAAACCAAATCCAGCAGCACATCAAAAAGTAAATACACCATGACCAAGTAGACTTCATTCCTGAGAAGCAAGATTAGTTCAACATATGCAAATCAATAAATGTGATTCACCACACAAACGGAATTACAAATAAAAACAATATAATCATCTCAGATACAGGAAAAGCTTTCAATAAAATTCAACATGTCTTCATGATAAAAACCCTCAACAAACTAAGCTTTAAAAGAACATACTTTTAAAATAATAAGAGCCATCTATGTCAAATCCACAGCCAACATCATACTGAAGGAGAAAACCTGGAAGCATTTCCCTTCAAAATCAGAACTAGCTTAAGATAACCTCTGTCACCACTCCTATTCAACATGGTACCAAAAGTCCTAGCTAGAGCAAACAGGCAAGAGAAAGAAATAAAAGAATTCCAAATTAGAAAAATAAGAGGTCAAACTATTTCTCTTTGCTAATGATATGATTCTATAGCTAAGAAAACCTTAAAGACTCTCCCAAAAAGCTCTTGGAACTGATAAAGGACTTTGGTAAAGTTTCAGGATACAAATTCAATGCGAAAAAATTGGTATTATCTCTATGCACCAGTAACATTCAAGCTGAGAGCCAAATCAAGAACACAATCCCATTTACAGTAGCCAGAAAAAGTACATGGGAATACATCTAACTAAAGAGTTAAACAATACTTACAAGGAGAACTATAAAGACTGCTAAAAGAATCAGAGATGACAGAAAATAATGGAAGAAAACATTTCTTGCTCATGCATTGAAAAAATGAATACCATTAAAATGGCCATACTGCCCAAAGTAATCTACAGATTCAACACCATTCCTATCAAACTACCAATGTCATTTTTCACAGAATTAGGAAAAAAAAAACTATTCTAAATTTTATAGACCCAAAAAAGGATCCTGAATAGTCAAATAATTCCTAAGCAAAATGAAAAAAGTTAAAGGCATTATGCTTCTGAACTTCAAACTACACTGTAAGGCTGCAGGAAAGTAAACAGCATGGTAGTGGTAGCAAAACTGACACATAGACCAATGAAAGAGAACAGAGAATCAAGAAATAAAGTTGCACACCTAGAGCCACCTGGTCTTCAACAAAGTTGACAAAATAAGCAATGGGGAAAGGACTCCTTTTCAATAAATGGTGATGGGATACCTAGATTGGGCCCCTACCTTTCATTATATATGAACATGAACTCAAGATGGAGGAAATATTTAAATGTAAGACTTCACAGTGTAAGAATCCTAGAAGAAAACCTAGGAAACATCATTCTGGATATCAGCCTTGGAAAAGAATTTATGACTAAGGCCTCAAAAGCAACTACAACAAAAACAAAAATTGACAATTGGGACCTAATTAACCTTACGGGTATCTACACACCAAAAGAAATGGTCAACAGAGTGAACAGACATCCTACAGAATGGCAGACAACCTACAGAAACCTATGGAATGGGAGAAAATATTCACAAACTATGCATTTGACAAACACCTAATATCCAGAATCTATAAGGAGCTTAAACAGTTCAACAAGCAATAAAACTAACTCCATGTTAAAAAGAGGGTGACATACATGAACAGACATTTCTCAAAAGAAGACCTACAATAATCCAACAAAGATACGAAAAAATGCTCCACATTACTAATAAGAGAAGAGCAAATCAGAAATACAATGAGATAAAATTTCACACAAGTAAGAATGGCTATAATTTAAGAAAAAATAAAAAATAACATATTTTGGTGAGGTTATGGAAAAAGAGAATACTTGTAGGCTTTTGACATAAATATAAATTAGTTCTGCTACTGTGAAAAGCAGTTTGGAGATTACTCAAAGAACTTAAAACAGTACCATTAGACCCAGAAATCCCATTACTGGGTATATATCCAGAAGACAACAAATTGTTCTATCAAAAATATGTGCACTTTCATGTTTATTGCAGCACTATTCACAAGAGCAAATATATGAAATCAACTTAGCTGCCTATCAATGGTGGATTGGATGAAGAAAATATGGTACATATATACCCTGGAATGCTACACAGCCATAAAAAGAATGAAATAATTCCTTTGCAGCAATATAGATGCAGCTGGAGGCCATTATCCTAAGCAAATTAGCACAGAAACAGAAAACCAAACATCCCATTTTCTCACTTAACAGTGGGAGCTAAACAATAGGTACTCATGAACATGAAGATGGCAACAATCGATACCAAGCACTAATAAAGTGGGGGAGAGACACAAGGTCTGAAAAACTAACTGTTGGGTGCCATGCTCACTATCTGGGTGATGGGATTATTTGTATCCCAAACCTCAGCATCATACAATATACCCATGAAACAAACCTGCACATGTACCTAAAATAAAAGTTGAAATTATAAATTAATAAATAAATGAGATGTATTAGGTTTAATACTATATTATTCCACTTCTTGAAATATATGTTAAACATGACAATGAAATTCCTTTAACATTAATTATTAATAAAAGAAATAAGATTATTTCTAATACTGGTAAACATGAGAAAAATTCATGAACATGAAACTATTCCTACTATAAATGCAAATTTTGTTATAAAATGTGAGGTATGTAACAGAAGATGAAAAATGGCTTCTCTTTTTCATATGTTTGATGACCATCAGAATTTATAAGTTGATGTCCCAAACTGTGTTCCCTGGCCACAATGCATATGTGTATGTGAATTTGTGTTTACGCATGCCAAAATTTAGTATTGGGTGGAAAATAAACAAAAAATACTTAAAGGAAACAAGGACAATAATGATTTGTCTAGCTTTGCAAACAGAATTGTTTTGTGTCATATAAAACTCTCAAATTAATGTGATCAATTAATATAATTTATCTACCTAAACATTTCTGAAAAAATAAATTGTATAGAATTAATCATATTTTAAACTATGTTTTTATAAGTTTTATGATACCCAAATGAGTGTGTATGTTAACTAATACAGAATAAGAAAACACTGACCTTGCTTTTTTGAAGATGCAATAAAATAAAGAGGTTTGGGTAACTGAGGTATAGACAAATGTGCCCCAAAATGCTTTATATTTGGAACTAAACTTAAGTCAATTGCCGTGTATAAAAAAATACAAGACAATATTTTGGAAAAGTCATTAATGTGTTGTAGTTATGTGTTTTTATGGTCTTTAATACTAGTCTTTTAAACAATTTCACATCAAGATGACTTCATTAGTATTGGTTCCTGACAGAAATAAAATAGATAAAAGTTTAAAAAGTGCTAGAAAAGTTATAGCTTCACTTAACATTTTCACACATGACAATTCTTATTCAAATTAACAAATAGGTGTTCTTCCAAATTAAATGAAAATCATTCTAGTTAATGTCTCAAAAGTCCTCCCCATTAAAGGGTATGATCTAGTCTTTAAATGCTACATAAATATGTCCCTAATCAGTGATATAATAACAACTATATTTTGTAATACAACTGAAAACATTTTTCCACTGCTCAATTAGTGATAAAGATAAGACCAGTCACTTCCTTGATTTAAGCTGAAAATGTGTGAAGGCTATCACACACAATACATCATTTACATATAGCCATTTACATATAGCCTATTGACAATTCACAGCCAAAGAATCATGCACAAAGATAGTAACCCATCATGATTCAGTGCTAATTAACTGCTTTTGCTGGAAGTTTTCCCTGTTAATACTCTCATAACATGCTTAAATATTTATATTCTATAGGGCATGCTTCATGTCATTTCAATTAATCCATCTTTTTTTGCTTCTTACTGCTGCTACGTAAACAAAGATAAGCCTCTAGCACCTTACAATTTAAACATATCCTTCAGTAGAGCATAAAATTAATATAAAGCTAAACATACATGCCATTACAAATAAATTATTATTAATCATAATCTATATAATTGTGAAGAGGGTAAAATATCTAAATTGTAATGAACTCTGTATTGGGAACATCATTTATTTAAAAAATAACGCTTGGTTTGTGTACCCAGATGTGGCACCAATATAGTAAACACAGTGTTTTTGTTCACCTAGCTTACCATAATATTTGATTTTTTTACTTTTAAGTTAAAGGCATTTAACTTTTTTGAGTTGAAACTTCGTAAGCATAATCTCTAAAAATTCTTTATAGCTGGGCACAGTGGCTCCTGCCTGTAATCCTAGCACTTTGGGAGGCTGAGGTGGGTGGATCACGAGGTCAGGAGATCAAGACCATCCTGACTAACACGGTGAAACCCAGTCTCTACTAAAAATACAAAAACAAAATTAGCAGGGAGTAGTGGTGGGCACCTGTAGTCTCAGCTACTCAGAAGGCTGAGGCGGGAGAATGGCACGAACCTGGGACGGAGGTTGCAGTGATCCGAGATTGTGCCACTGCACTCCAGCCTGGGCGACAGAGTGAGACTCCGTCTCAAAAAAAAAGAAAAAAAAAATCTTTACATAGAATTCTAAACAAATGATACAAATAAATATGTTTACCTGTGTATGTGAAGGGTGTGTGTGTGTGTGTGTGTGTGTGTGCATGTGATAGTATGAGTATTCTGCTATTAACCATTTATTTCACCACTCATACTTTGGTGAAAAATCCATAATACTGATGAATAAAAATGCCTCTCATATATTCTTAGCTTATCACCCTTTTTCACTACAGTAGTTTGTTGATCAGCTTTAGTTTCCCATTAATGACCTCCTGGTTTCAAAGCTGAAGCACGGATAATGAATGTTAAAGTTCTCTGTCTGTTATTGGTGTATAAGAATGCTTGTGATTTTTGCACATTGATTTTGTGTCCTGAGACTTTGCTAAAGTTGCTTATCAACTTAAGGAGATTTGGAGCTGAGACGATGGGGTTTTCTAACTATACAATCATGTAATCTGCAAACAGAGACAAATTTACTTCCTCTTTTCCTAATTGAATACCCTTGATTTCTTTCTCTTGCCTGATTGCCCTGGCCAGAACTTCCAATACTATGTGGAATAGGAGTGATGAGAGAGAGAATCCTTGTCTTGTGCTGGTTTTCAAAGGGAATGCTTCCAGTTTTTGCCCATTCAGTATGATATTGGCTGTGAGTTTTTCATAAATAGCTCTTATTATTTTGAGATACATTATTGTGGCACTGTTCACAATAGCAAAGACTTGGAACCAACCCAAATGCCCATCAATGATAGACTGGATAAAGAAAATGTGGCACATATACACCATGGAATACTATACAGCCATAAAAAGATGAGTTCATGTCTTTTGCAGGGACATGGATGAAACCGGAAACCATCATTCTCAGCAAACTAACACACGAACAGAAAACCAAACACTGCATGTTCTCACTCACAGGTGTGAGTTGAACAATGAGAACACATGGACACAGGGAAGGGAGCATCACACACCAGGGCCTGTCAGAGAGTGGGGTGCTAGGGCAGGGATAGCATTTGGAGAAATACCTAATGTAGATGATGGGTTGATGGGTGCAGCAAACCAACATGGCAAGTGTATACCTATGTAACAAACCTGCACAATCTGGACATGTACCCCAGAACTTAAAGTATAATAAAAAAAATAAAGTTCTCAATGTCAAATCTGAGTCAAAGTGTAGTCTGCAAAGAAGAAAACTTTTAAAATTACCTTAAATGTTTTATGTGGCACATATACACCATGGAATACTATGCAGCCATAAAAATGGTGAGTTCATGTCCTTTGTAGGGACATGGATGAAATTGGAAATCATCATTCTCAGTAAACTATCGCAAGAACAAAAAACCAAACACCGCATATTCTCACTCATAGGTGGGAATTGAACAATGAGAACACATGGACACGGGAAAGGGAACATCACACTCTGGGGACTGTTGTGGGGTGGGGGGAAGGGGGAGGGATAGCATTAGGAGATATACCTAATGCTAGATGACGAGTTAGTGGGTGCAGCGCACCAGCATGGCACATGTATACATATGTAACTAACCTGCACAATGTGCACATGTACCCTAAAACTTAAAGTGTAATAATAAAAAAAAGTTTTATACGTATCTGCTGCTCACAAACCATTAAAATTTGGTAAAAATGAATTTATTTCCCCAAATTTCATGCTGTAAATATTTCAACAGCCTGAGAAAGCCTATGAATGTCCTTGCACTGACAGGAGAAATTGAAGTAAAATGTTTCATTCACTGTCACAAGAAAGACAACATTTTCCCCAACTTCCAGACTCACTTCGAGCCCGTTACTCAGTTATTTCACAGCCACAATATGAGAAGTGGTTAAAACAAGTCCAGAATTAAAGACAGCATTTAAGCAGCAACTATAATAAAACTCCAGTCATCCATAAACTTTAAAATCAGGAAAATGTATAAAACTAAATGTACACATACAAAAAGACCCAGCAATTCCATTCATACATGTTTATCTTAGGGAAAGGAAATCATATATGTACACAAAGCCTCATATGAAAGTTTATAGCAGCTCTATTCACAGTATCCAAAACCTGGTAAAAACCCAAATGTCAATTAATGTGTGAATGGATAAACACATTGCAAAAAATTTATTACAAGAGAATACTATTCAGCAATGGAAAGTAGAGAACTACTGTTAACATTTAATGGCATTCATAAACACATTATGCTGATTAAAAGAAGCCAGTCATCAAATAGGGTATACTGCTTGATTCAAATTGTGTGAGACTTAGAAGGGGAAAATTAGTATATAGTCTCAAAAAACACATTGGTCATTACTGGGGACTAGGGAAAAGAACATAAAGAAACCTTTGGGGTTTCTAAAAAAGCTTTCTATCTCCATTGGGGTGGTAAATAATAGAGTTTGACTTTCGTCAAACTCATTTTAAAAGGTACACTCAAAATGGATGTGGTTTTTGAAATGCAAATTAGATCTCAAAAAAGTTGATTAAAAATTTCTAAAAGTACTAATATTTATTTATTGCTTACAATGTATGCTTCACCATCTCATGACTTTGCATATATTTTTATACGTTTATTTGGTGATTTCTACTGGTGTAAAATTTACCTTCATGTTGCAATGTTTTTAACGTCTTACTTCCAATAGGAGCTTTGATGGTCATAGAAATGGGTAGAAATAAATCAGATAAATAAAAACAAATATGTTCATGTTACCCTCATATTCCCATTTGCATGGTAATAATATCCTAATTTAAAAACAGGTATTTTCTGAATAATACAATTATTATAGCAAGACCAACTGTATTCTACTTCCACCACGTCAAATAGTCTTTTTGATATGTTTTATAGCTTACTTCATTTAGCTGCTATAAATCTTTGATGAAGCTTCCTACTTGTAAAGTGGAATTTTCTCAAAATCGAAAGCATTTTTAGAATTATTTCAATTAGAATGTGTTCAATACCTCTTTAGCAATTGCAGCCACATGAGAAAGAGTATATATTATTTTAGTCAGCCAGTCAACAAGTATTTATAGAGCTCTCACAGGATATCTTATATTGTACTAAGCAAATTTATTACTTCCTTACAAGTATCTATGAGGCATGATAATATTTTCCCAGAGTCGCTGTGAAATGTATTTCACAATTTTGATTAAATAGGGATAAAAAAAGGGAAGAAATTGGCATTTTCATGTAAGATTTTTTTCCTTTTTTATGTTATAGTGTATGCTTTCAGATAAATCTCTCTCATTTGAGTATGTAAGGTATACAGGATTGCAAATATTATGATACACAGGTCAGAATTGACACCAACATTAAATGTAAAATTACTCAATATGTTCCCTTATAGCTCCATGGACAAATAATAAGGGTGTAAAAATTAGATACTGAAGCAAATGCCAATTATCTTTGGCCCATTTATTTCATGTAAACTGCCTAAATGCAAGATTTCTTCCAATACCATAATATACATTACCATTTCCAATTATAAACTCACACTTGATCCTAAAAGTAGAAACTGCTGAGCCCCTCTGGACCCTGATCCATTGATATTTTTTTGTAGAGATGGGGTTTCACCGCATTGTTCAGGCTGGTCTTGAACTTGTGAGCTCAGGCAATCTTCCCGCCTCTGTCTCCCAAAGTTATGGGATTACAGGCATGAGCCACGGCTCCCAACCAAGAATACGAATGATTTTAATACAGCACTCTTGTATCCCGTGACCTTGAGAAATTCATTTATTGGTTCTAGAAGTTTTTTTGTAAATGTCTTGGGATATTATACAGAAGCAATCATAAACATTGCAAATAAAGATAATTGTACTTATTTCTTTTTTTAAAAAAATTTACTTTAAGTTCTGAGATACATGTGCAGAACGTGCAGGTTGGTTACATAGGTATACATGCGCCATAGTGCTTTGCTGCATCTATCAACCCTTCATCGAGGTTTTAAGCCCCGCATGCATTAGGTGTTTGTCCTAATGCTCTCCTTTCCTTTGCCCCCCATCCCCCGACAGGCCCCGGTGTGTGATGTTCCCCTCCTTGTGTCCATGTGTTCTTATTGTTCAACTCCCACTTATGAGTGAGAATATGTGGTGTTTTGTTTTCTGTTCCTGTGTTAGTTTGCTGAGAATGATGGCTTCCAGCTTTCATCCATGGCTGAATTTTTTTCTTTCTTTCTTTCTTTCTTTTTTTTTTTTTTTGAGACAGAGTCTCCCTCTGTTGCCCAGACTGGAGTGCTGTGGCACAGCCTTGGCTCACTGAAACCTCTGCCTTCTTGGTTCAAGTGATTCTCCTGCCTCAGCCTCCTGAGTAGCTGGGATTACAGGTGCCCACCACCAAGCCCGCCTAATTTTTGTACTTTTAGTAGAGACAGGGTTTCGCCATGTTGGCCAGGCTAGTCTCAAATTCCTGACCTCGAGTGATCCTCCCACCTTGGCCTCCCAAAATGCTGGGATTACAGGCGTGAGCCACCTGGCCTGACCTAATTATACCTATTTCTAATCATCATACCTTTTCTTTCTTTTTTTAATCTTTTCACATTGGCTAGGGCTTTCCAAACAATGTTGAAAAGGTGGTGAGAAGAAAGTGAAGCAAGATATTCAAGCGGAACCCTCCAGCAATCATCCCACACCCCCCACCCCACCCCACCCCTGCCTAGGACCACAAAACGGAAAACTCTCAAGATGAGAAAGCACCTTCATAAGAACCAAAAATCAGATGAACAATTGCAGTATCTGGTTTTAATATCATCTCAAGAAAAGAGGCGCTGAAGAGGACAGGAAGGACGGTCTTGAAATGCTAACATCACCCATCTCCTATCCCATGGCAGCAGTCCCATGGCACAGAGAGAGAATCTGTGTGCTGGGGAACTTAGAGCACAGTGATGATAGGACTTTGCATTGGCACTTGGTGCTGCCCAGTCACAGTGGAAAACAACACAGGGCAGCACTCAGCGGGCACTCACAGACACAGCATTTACACCAGCCCTAGCAAAGGCAAATCCTCAATCCCAGTGGTGTGAACCTGAGTTCTGGCAAGCCACACACTGCTGGCTAAAGGGCTCTGGGGTCCTAAATAAACTTGAAAGGCAGTCTAGGCCGCAGGGATTGCAATTCCTGGAAGCGCCCTGGAGCCACTGGACTTGGGGTGCACAAGACCTAGTGAGACACCAGTAGGGGCAGCCCAGAGAGTGTTTGTGTCAACCCTCACCCACCCCCCAGGCTGTGCAGCTCACAGCGCTGGGAGAGACTCCTTCCTTCTACTGGAAGAGAGGAGAGAGGAGGATAAAGAGGACTTTGTCTTGTCACTTGGGTACCAGCTCAGCCACAGTAAAATAACTCACCCAGCAGAGTCCTGAAGCTCCCCTGTTCTAGACCCCAGCTCCTGGACAACATTTCTAGACACATACTGGGCCAGAAGGAAACCTGCCGCCTGGAAGGAAAGGGACCCATCCTGGCAGCATTCTTCACCTCCTGACTAAATAGCCCTTGGGCCTTAAATAAATATCAGCAGTAGCCAGGCAGTACTCACCAGGGGTCTTGGGTGAGACTCAGAGCCTTACTGGCTTTAAGTGTGACCCAGCACATTCCAGCTGTGATGGCCACAGAGAGAGGCTCCTTCTCCTTGAGAAAAAGGGAGAGAAGAGTAAAGAGGACTTTGTCTTGCAATAGGGGTACCAGCTCACCCATAGTAAAGAAAGCACCAAGCAGACTCCTAAAGTCCCAGGTTCCAGGCCTTAGTTCCTGGATGGCATTTCTGCACCTGCTCTGAGCTGGAAGGGAATCTGCCACCCTGAAGAGAAAGACACAAGCCTGGCTGCATTTGCCACCTGCTGACTAAAGAGGCCCTGGGGCTTGAAGAAACATCAGTGGTTGCCAAGCAGTTCTTGCCACGGGCTGGGGTGGTAGTGGCCATGGGGAGAGGTTCCTTCTGCTTGAGGAAAGGAGAGGGGAGACTGAGAACGACTCTGTCTTTAACTAGGGTGCCAGCTCACCCACAGTAAAATCAAGCACCAAGTAGATTTCAAAAATTCTCAATTCTAGGCCCTAGCTCCTGGAAAGCATTTCTTTCAAGATTCACCCTGGTTTCTAGACCCACCCTGGGCCAGAAGGGAACCCACACCCTGAAAGGAGAAAGACAAGCCTGGCTGCATTCACCTCCTGCTCAGCAAAGAGCACTTGGGCCTTAAAGAAACATCAGTGGGAGTGAAGCCATAGTTGCTGCAGGCTGTGGGAGAGACCCAGTGCTGGGCTGGCTTCAGGTCTGACCCAACATGGTCCTGAGGAGAGAGGCCATTTCTCTTACTGTCTCCTGTCTCTGAGGAGAAGGAGGAAGTAAAAGCCGAAAAACAGCAGGAATGAAGTCAGTGGCAAAACCAGCCAGTGCCACTGATGACCAGGCCTGAGGTTAAAAAACTAACCCCCCATTCTAACCACATGTGCTATCTATAGATCTCAATCTATCACAACCCTTTCACATGGAACCCCTTAGAGTTATAAGCCCTTAAAAGGGCCAGGAACTCTTTCTTCGAGGAGTTCGGTTCTTGAGACACAAGTCTGCCGACGCTCCCAACAGAATAAAGCCTCTTCCTTATTTAACCCAGTGTCTGAGGGGTTTTGTCTGTGGCTTGTCCTGCTACAGTCCCAGTGCCGGTGGCCACAGGAGTACTTGTGTTGCCCTTCTCTAACTCCAGACAGCTCAGCATGGAGAGAGAGACTCCATTTGTTTGGGGGAAAGTGAAGGAAAAGAACAAGAGGGTCTGCCTGGTAATCCAGGGAATTCTCCCAGATCTTACTTAAGACCGCCAAGGTGGTACCTCTATGAGTCTGCAAGAGTCATAGTGTTATTGGGCTTGAGGTGTCTCTAATGCAGATATGTCTGCAGTGACCAAAGACTTAGATCACATCACAACCATCAATTCCCTTTGAATACTGGAAAAGCCTTTTCAAGAAGGATGGGAGGCTGGGCGCAGTGGCTCACGCCTGTAATCCCAGCACTTTGGGAGGCCGAGGCGGGTGGATCACCTGAGGTCGGGAGTTTGAGACCGGCCTGACCAACATGGAGAAACCCTGTCTCTACTAAAAATACATAATTGGCCGGGCATGGTGGTTCATGCCTGTAATCCCAGCTACTCAGGAGGCTGAGGCAGGAGAATCACTTGAACCCGGGAGGTGGAGGTTGCAGTAAGCCAAGATTGTGCCACTGCACTCCAGCCTGGGCAACAAGAGCGAAACTCCATTAAGAAAAAAAAAGAAGAACAAGAAGAAGAAGAACAGGCCCAGATGTGGTGGCTCATGCCTATCTGTCTATAATTCCAGCACTTTGGGAAGCTGAGGAGGGAGGATCACTTAAATCCATGAGATCAAGACCAACCTGGGCAACATATTGAGACCCTGTGTCTACAAAAAATACAAAAATCAGCTGGACATGGTGGCATGTGCCTGTAGTCCCAGCTATTTGGGAGGCTGAAGTGAGAGGATCACTTGAGCCCAGGAGGCTGAGGCTGCAGTGAGCCATGATCATGCCATTGCACTCCAGCCTGAGTGGCAGAGTGAGACTCTGTCTCAGAAAAAAGAAAGAAACAAAGAAAGATGGGTACACACAAGCACAGACTGTGGAGATTATAATAAATAACTAATTATTTAATGCCCAGACATTGACCAACATCCACAAGCATCAAGAGCATCCAGGAAAACATGACCACACAAAATGAACTAAATAAGGCATGAGGGACCAGTCTCAGAGTGACAAAAATATGTGAACTTTCAGAGAAAAATTTCAAAATAGCTGTTTTGAGGAGGCTCAATGAAACTCAAGACAACACAGAGAAGGAGTTCAGAATCCTATCAAATATATTTAACAAAGAGATTGAAATAAATTTTAAAAATCAAGCAGAAATTCTCAACCTGAAAAATGTAATTGACATACTGAAGAATGCATCAAATCTCTTACCAGCAGAACTGATCAAGCAGAAGAAAGAATTAGTGAGGTTGAAGACAGGCTATTTGAAAATACACAGTCAGAGAAGACAAAATAAAAAAGAATAAAAAACTGTAAAGTGAGAAATAAAATAAAAACAATGAAGCACACCTACGAGATCTAGAAAATATCCTCAAAAGAACAAATCTAAACATTAGAGGAGGTAGAGAGAGAGATCAGCATAGTAAATCTATCCCAAGAGGTAGTAACAGAGAGCTTCCCAAACCTAGAGAATGATATCAATATACAAATGCAAGAAGGTTATAGAACACCAAGTAGATTTAATCCAAAGAAGATGACCTAAAAGTCATTTAATGATCAGACTCCCAAAAGTCAAGGATGAAGAAAGAATTCTGAAGGAAGAAAGATAAAAGAAACAAATAACATATAAGGAGCTCCAGTATATTTTGCAGCAGACTTTTCAGTGGAAACCTTATAAGCCAGGAGAGACTGGCATGACATATTTAAAGAACTGAAGGAAAAAACAAAAAACAAACAAAAACAACAACAAAAAAAAACCTTTCATCCTAGAATAGTATATCCAGTGAAAATATCCTGAGGTCAGGAGTTTGAGACCAGCCTGGCCAACATGGTGAAACCCCATCTCTAGTAAAAATACAAAAATTAGCTGGGTGTTGTGGCATCTGCCTGTAATCCCAGCTACTCGGGAGGCTGAGGCAAGAGAATCACTTGAACCTAGAAGGTGGAGTTTGCAGTGAGCTGAGATCGTGCCACTGCACTCCAGCCTGGGGGACAGAGTGAGACCCTATCACAAAAACATAATAATAGTAATAATAAAAGAAAAAAGCAAAAATTCAAAGAACTAAACAGAAATTGGGCAAAAGAGTTGAACCAGCCCTCCACAGAAGAGGAAATGTGGAGAAATGGCTACTAAAAACATGAAGAGAGTCTCAGCCTAACAGGGAGATATCACCTGACACCCACCAGACTGGCAAAAATCCCACAACCCAATCAATGCAAGTGTTGAGGAGAATGGAAAGTAGCAGGAACACCAGGAACTGCTAAGAATGGTTGTGAGATATATTTTTGTTATGCTTGTATCTGAAAGGGTATGTGTTGTGTGTTATAAGGAAATTACATTTCTTACCTGGGATGAAATTTAAAAATTGAAAGCTACTGACCAGAAGAAACTTGCACTTGTGTACAAAAGAAATGCCCAAGAACATTCCTAGCAAACCACAGTCCTAAGGGCCCCAACCTGGCCAAACACTCATCCACAGGGAAATGAAGACATTTCCCATGCTCCCCTCATACGACAGGAGATTACACAGAAATGAAAATGAATCATGTCAATGTAGGTGGGTATCAGGAAGAGAATGGAGGACAAAAATAGACACCAAGCCGATGCTCAGAGCCATACAGCATAGGAGCAGCCACACAGGAGAATTTCTTCACATGAAAGTTCAAAACTACAGCCGGGGCAACAGAGCAAGACCCTGTCTCAAAAAGACAACAGAAAGTTCCAAAACTAAATGGCATATTTTTTAGGGATCTACACAGGGTGAAAGAAATGTACTGTGAAGCAAATAAAGACTAAAGCAGGAAGTGATTCCCTCTGTAGGAGAAGAGAAGTGACTGGAACTCAGGCAGGGCCACCAGGGAGCATCCAAAGTTATATCTCTTCAGATTCTATTCCCTAAACTTGATGGAGGTCCTCTGTGTGCAATGTGTCGATATTCTTTATACCTTACCCATATTGTACAAATGCTTTATTTCTATTCAATATTTAGAAGACAGTTACAAACAAGATGCATTAAATAGCAAGACGGCAGATGAACATTAGGAAGGAACATCAGGAACATCCATGAGGTTCCATCCACAGAACTTCACCAGGGATATGCTTGTGATCAAGGGCCTGGTCTCCCCTCAAGACACAGTCAGAGATGAAAGGCTGCACCATCACAGCAGTGGAGCAGGACCAGCTGGGACAGTGTCCTTCTGTGACACCTGCTGCATCACCAGGCTGTGCGAACGAACTCAGCTGCCAGAACTCACAGAATATCAGCATCAGCACCGAAACCTCACAGGAAAAATAGTAAGTTCTAAGTTTCTCCATTAATAGTAACTCTCAGATTAATCTCTGTCATCCATCACTTCTCCATTAAATAACTTTTTATAGCTTTGCATGGGTCTATTTTTCAATTTATATTTTATTTAGCTAACTGATTGAAAAGATATATATTGCATGTGGTGTGTGATTTTGTATCTGTCAGGATAATCATAGTTCAATTTCTATTATTATTATACCAATATCATTTTGTTTTCTTTTTAATTCTGAGGGTATTAATCAGGGTCTTTCTATCACGTGAGACACAAAACAAATCCAAACTGTGTAACAGAAAAAGGAATTCATTGACCACAAGGACTGACAAGCTCCCAGACTTAACTTGCTTAGGATTCAGCTATATGTACAGTTTCAAGTGGCATCCTGTAACTCTCTCTCTACTCTACTTCCCCAACATCAGCTGCATGTTTAGCTCCATGAACTTCAGACTTAAACAGCATCACTGGCTCCTGACCAGGATTCCAGCTCCACAAACTTCAAACTAGAACACCAGCCCGGCTTCTCCGCAGGTCTCCGGCTCCAAAACCTAAGACATCAGTGGCAGTACAAACTCCTCCTGGGGGCTCCAGCTCTGGGACCCTCAGACTTGAACCACAGCACCCACTCTTCCCTGGATCTCCAGCTCCACAACCCTCAGACTTAAACAACAATAGCACCAGCTCATCCATGAATCTCCAGCTCCACGACTCTCAAACTAGAACAGCACCAGCTCCTCCCCAGGTCTCCAGCTGCAAGACCCTCAAACTAGAACAACATCAGCTCCTTCCCGGGTCTCCAGCTGCATGACACTCAAACTAGAACGACAACAGCTTCTCCCCAGGTCTCCAGCTGCACGACACTCAAACTAGAATAACACCGCTCACCCTTGGATCTCCAGCTCCACAAACCTCACACTAGAACAGCAACACTGGTTCCTCCGTGGATCTCCAGCTTTACAACCTAAGACATGAGTAGCAGCACCAACTCCTTCCAGGGACTCAAGCTCCAGGACCCTCAGACTTGAACCGCAGCACCAGCTCTTCCCCAGATCTCCAGCTCGATGACCTTCCAACTTAAACAACAGAAGGATCAGCTGACCTCCCTGGTTTTCCAGCTCCACAGCCCTCAACTAGAACACCATCAGCAACTCCCTGGATCTCCAGCTGCATGACCCTCGCACTAGAACACCAACATCGGCTCCTCCGCAGGTCTCCAGCTCCACAACCTAAGACATCAGTGGCAGGATTGGCTCCTTTCATAGATTCAGCTCCGGGACCCTCACATTTGAACTGCAGGACTACCTCCTCCCTGGATCTCCAGCTGCACGACCCTCAAACTAGAAAAACACCAGCTCCTCCCTGGGTCTCCAAGCTCCATGACCCTCAAACTAGGACAACATCAGCTCCTCCTTGGGTCTCCATCTGCATGACCCTCAAATGAGAAAAACAGCAGCAAACTATAAAAACCTTCCAAGCTTTTTCTAGTTTGAGGATCATACAGCTGTACACCCGAGAAGGAGCTGATTTAAATCTAGTTTGAGCATCGTGGAGCTGGACATCCAGGGAGGAGCTGGTGTTTTTCCAGTTTGAGGGTTGTGGAGCTGGACACCCAGGGAGAAGCTGATAATTTTCTAGTTTGAAGGTCTTGGAGCTGTACACCGAGGGAGAAGCCGGTGTTTTTCTAGTATGAGGGTCGTGGAGCTGGACACCCAAAGGAGAGCAGTGTCGTTCTAGTTTGAGGATGTTTGAGGGTCAGCTGCATGACTCTCAAACTCAAAAAACACCAGCTTCTCCCTGGGTCTCCAGCTCCATGACCGTCAGACTAGAACAACATCAGCTTCTCCCCTTGTCTCCAGCTTTACAATGTTCAAACTAGAACATCAGCTCCTCCCCGGATCTCCAGCTTCATGACCCTCAGACTTAAACAACAGCAGCACCAGCTCCTCCCCATTTCTCCAGCTGCACGACCCTCTGATCAGAAAAACATTGGCTCCTCCCCATGTCTCCAGCTGCATGATCCTCAAACTAGAACATCAGCTCCTCCCCAGGTCTCCAGCTGCACAACCCTTAAACTAGAAGATGAGCTCCTACCCGGGTCTCCAGCTCCATGACCCTCAAACTAGAACAACATCAGCTTCTCCCTGAGTCTCCAGCTAAAGACCCTCAAACAAGAACAACATCAGCTCCTCCCTGAGTCTTCAGCGGCACAACCCTCAAACTAGAACATCAGATCTTCTCAGTGTCTCTAGCTGCAGGACACTTATAATAGAAAAACGCCAGCGCCTCCCAGGTTCTAAAGCTGCACGGCCCTCAAACAAAAACACCAGCTCCTCTCTGGGTCTCAAGCTGCACGAAACTCAAATTAGAACAACACCAGCTCCTCTCTGGGTTTCCAGCTCCATGACCCTCAAAGGAGAACAACAACAACAGCTCCTCCTCGAGTCATCAGCCGCACGTCCTTGAAACTAGAACATCAGCTCCTCTCCAGGTCTCCAGCTGCATAACACTCATACTAGAAAAACGCCAGCTCCTCCTGGGTTCTACAGCTGCACAACCCTCAAACTAAAGAAACACCAGGTCCTCTCTGGGTCTCCAAGTGCACGAACCTCAAAGTAGAACAATACCAGCTCCTCTCTGGGTCTCCAGCTCCATGACCCTCAAACTGGAATAACATCAGCTCCTCTCTGGGTCTCCAGCTGAAAGACCCTCAAACAAGAACAACATTAGCTCCTCCCTGAGTCTTCAGTTGCATGACCCTCAAACTAGAACATCAGCTCCTCTCTGGGTCTCCAGCTGCAGCACACTCATACTAGAAAAACGCCAGCTCCTCCGGGTTCTACAGCTGCATGACCCTCAAACTAAAGAAACACCAGCTCCTCTCTGGGTCTCCAGTTGCACAACCCTCAAACTAGAACATCAGCTCCTCCCCTAGTCCTCAGCTGCACGACCCTCAGTCTAGACCATCACCTCCTCTCCGGGTCTCTAGCTGCATGACACTCATAATAGAAAAACACCAGCTCCTCTCGGTTCTACAGCTGCATGATCCTCAAACTAAAAAACACCCACTCCTCCCCAGGTCTCCAGCTGCACGGCCCTCAAAGTAGAACAATACCAGCTCTTCTCTGGGTCTCCAGCTCCATGACTTTCAAACTAGAACAATATCAGCTCCTCTCCAGATCTCCAGCTGAAAGACCCTCAAATGAGAACAACATCAGCTCCTCCCCGAGTCTTCAGTTGCACGACCCTCAAACTAGAGCATCAGCTCCTCTCCGGGTCTCCAGCTGCAGGACACTCATACTAGAAAAATGCCAGCTCCTTCCGGGTTCTACAGTTGCATGACCCTCAAACTAAAGAAACACCAGCTCCTCTCTGGGTCTCCAGCTGCATGAACTTCAAACTACAACATCAGCTCCTGCCAGAGTCTTCAGCTGCACAACCCTCAAACTAGAACATCAGCTCCTCTCTGGGTCTCCAGCTGCAAGACATTCATACTAGAAAAACACCAGCTCCTTCCAGGTTCTACAGCTGCATGATCCTCAAACTAAGGAAACACCAGCTCCTGTCTGGGTCTCCAGCTGCATGAACCTCAAACTAGAACAACATCAGCTGCCCTCTGGGTCTCCAGCTGAAAGACCCTCAAACGAGAACAACATCAGCTCCTCCCCGAGTCTTCAGCTGCACGGGTCTCAAACTAGAACATCAGCTCCTCTCCAGGTCTCCAGCTGCAGGATACTCATACGAGAAAAACGCCAGCTTCTCCCAGGTTCTAAAGCTGCATGACCCTCGAACTAAAGAAACACCAGCTCCTCTCTGGGTCTATAGCTGCACAACCCTGAAACTAGAACAACATCAACTCCTCCCAGGTTCTACAGCTGCATGACCCTCAAACTAAGGAAACACCAGCTCCCCTCTGGGTCTCCAGCTGCACGAACCTCAAACTGGAACATCAGCTCTTCTCTGGGTCTCCAGCTGCAGGACACTCATACTAGAAAAATGCTAGCTCCACTTGGTTCTACAGCTGCATGACTCTCGAACTAAAAAACACCCGCTCCTCCCCAGGTCTCCAGCTATATGAACCTCAAACTAGAACAACACCAGCTCCTCTCTGGGTCTCCAGCTAAATGACCCTCAATCTAGAACATCAGCTCCTCCCCAAGTCTTCAGCTGCACGACCCTCAATCTAGAAAATCAGCTCCTCCTCAGGTCTCCAGCTGCAAGTCCCTCAAACTAGAAAAACACCAGCTCCTTCCGGGTTCTACAGCTGCATGACCCTCAAACTAAAGAAACACCCACTCCTCCCAGAGTCTGCAGCTGCACAAACTTCAAACTAAGAAACACTAGCTCCTCCCCAGGTCTCCAGCTCCATGACCCTCCAATTAAAACAACCCCAGCTCCTCCAGGGTCTCCAGCAGAAAGATCCTCAAACTAGAACACCTCCCTCGCCTGGATCTCCAGCTCCACGACCCTCACAGAAGAACAGCAACACCGGCTCCTTCATTGGTCTTCAGCTCCACAACCTAAGACATCAGTGGCAGCACCAGCAGCACCAGCTCCTCCATGGACCTCCAGCTCAACGACTCTCATAGACTTAAAAGGCAGCGCCCGCTCCTCGCCAACGTTCCATTTCCACCACCCTCAGATTTCAACAGCGGTAGCACCAGCTCCTGCCCGGGTCTTCAGCCCCACGACCCTCTGAACAATCCCTTCTTATGAAATTCTCAGTCAAGAAAACAGCAGCGGAAGTAAATGAATAAATGTTTTGTTTTCAAATCAACGTTATCTTTTATGTTCATGCAACTCAGTTAACTTTCCTGCTTTCCATTAACCTTGTAATCTTATGTTCAACGTGAGATAGAAATACACCATTTGAAATGACGTTTAAAAACTTAGTAATATTTTTAATATGATCATCACAGGGCTCTAGACATGATCTTATTTCTCTCTGCCTGTGCAGAAATCTTATGAAAATTCAAACCATGAATTTCCTTTGCTGAGATTCCCAGAATACACATTAATCCCAAATGTTACTCCCCTCCTTAAAATCTTTTAACATGTTCCCATCACCCCAGCATAAATGCCAGCTCCCGTCCACAGCCCACAGTGCCCAGCATGGCCCTGCCCTCTGCCCTGGTCTATGGACTCCCCTCTTAAATGCCAGCTCCCATCCACAGCCCACAGTGCCCAGCATGGCCCTGCCCTCTGCCCTGGCCTATGGTCTCCTCTCTTAAATGCCAGCTCCCATCTGCAGCTTACAGTGCCCAGCACGGGCCTGCCCTCTGCCCTGGCCTATGGTTGCCAGCTCCCATCTGCAGGCTACAGTGCCCAGCATGGCCCTGCCCTCTGCCCTGGCCTATGGTCTCCACTCTGGTGCCCAGCACGGCCCTTCCCTCTGCCCTGGCTTATGGTCCCCCCTTTTAAATGCCAGCTCCCATCCACAGCCCACAGTGCCCAGCATGGTCCTGCCCTCTGCTCTGGCCTATGGTCTCCCCTCTTAAATGCCAGCGCCCATCCATAGCGCACAGTGCCCAACACAGCCCTGCCCTCTACCCTGCCCTCTGCTCTGGCCTAAGGTCTCTCCCCTCTGCGGTTCCCTTCCTGCTGGACAGGCCTCTGTCAGTTCCTCAAACCATACAGGCTCAGGCCTGACTCTGGGCCTTTGCCTTGCTGTGCCCTCTGCCTGGGGTGCCTTTCCCGGGCTTCGCATCCTCCTCTCAACCCGCTCAGCTCCAGCCTGCTTGCCGCCCCTCAGGTGGATGCACACAGTGTGTCCTCCCACCCCCCTGCCTCCCCGGCCTTTGCACAGGCTCTTCTCTGTGCTGGAAACACCCCCCCTCTCCCAATCGGGGTTTACTCTCTAATTACCATTCACCCTTGGAGTCTCCACTGACATATCACTCCCTGCCCACCCCCCTCACTTGGACTTAACCTTGGTTAGGTTGCAACCCCTGTCTCCTGACTCCAGGAAGCTAGATGCTATCCTAGCACTTGGAAGTTCCCTATTGCCACATTGTGCACACCTGTAATTATGCTATTAGGTTGGTGCAGAAGTCATCGTGGTTTTTGCCATTACTGTTAATGAACTACAGCACCAGCTCCTCCCCACTTTTTTTTTGCCATTACTTTTGATGGCAAAAACCACAATGACTGCTGCACCAACCTATTAGAGTCATTTATATTTATCTGTCCATCATCTGACTTTCCCTCTAGAAAGGAAGCTCCATGAGAATACAGGCCAAATCTACCGAAATCACTCCACCTTCCTAGCACGTTGTTTATCAATAATTATTTACCTAGTGACTGATAGAGAAATACCTTCACTGTTGCTGGGATGAGGCACATGACATGCGCCTTTGAAAGTCAATTCAGTAGACAGTTAGAATTTGCTCTTCACTCCTGCACCCATGGCATGGCTGGGCTTAGGCTGATCTACTCTGGGCTTGACTCTAGGTTGAGGATGGGAACCATGTGTGCCTCACACGCCTCTCTTCCTGCAGCCAGAGCCGCCATTCCCTGGGGCATGCGCATCTCATGGGGAAAATCAAGAGCCTTAGAGGGCAGGCCTGGCGGTGCCCACACATTACAGGCTTCTGCTTGTGCCATGTCTGTGAAAATCTTGTTGGCAGAAGAAAGTCACCCAGCCACGAGCAACACCTCTGGGATGGATAAGTCTATCCACCCTCCCTTGCTGCCGACTAATGCAGCATAACCCCGGCAAGGATGTGGCTGTGGCATACTCTTATATGGGGAGTGAAATATTGAGGCCCAACGTTAAATCGCCCACAGCAAGACATGTCAGCCTCGGTGTCCCCACGCTGGAATCATTCTTCGACAGCAGGTTCGCCTGAGCTGACTTCCCTTTACAATGGTGTCTGCAGGTTTAGGCCAACGCTGTTACCCATGGAGGACAGAGAAGCCTCAATGGGCCTCTATCTGTTGGGAAGAACAAGATATTAGCTCGGCGCAAAACAACCACAAGCCCCAGGTGGCCCACGCCCCGTGAGACAGGAGAGGGGCAGAAAACTGTAAGAGCTCAGGAAAGCTTGCATCCCCAGCACCCTCCCTGTGTCCCCAACCTCCTCACCTGCATGCCCCCATTTCTCTCCCCTTCCTTCCTCCCTTCCGTCCTCCTTCCTTCCTTCCTTCCTTCCTTCCTTCCTTCCTTTCTTTCTTTCTTTCTTTCTTTCTTTCTTTCTTTCTTTCTTTCTTTCTTTCTTTCTTCTTTTTCCTTCCTTCCTTCCTTCCTTCCTTCCTTCCTTCCTTCCTTTCTTTCTTTCTTTCTTTCTTTCTTTCTTTCTTTCTTTCTTTCTTTCTTTCTTTCTTTCTTTCTTCTTTTTCCTTCCTTCCTTCCTTCCTTCCTTCCTTCCTTCCTTCCTTCCTTCCTTTCTTTCTTTCTTTCTCTTTCTTTCTTTCTTTTCAGGGTCTGGGCTCTGTCATCCAGGCTGGAGTGCAATGGCATGATCTTGGCTTACTGCAACCTTCACCTCCCGGGCTCAAGCAATCCTCCCTCCTCAGCCTCCACAGTGGCTGGGACTACAGGTGCATGCCACCACACCCAGCTAATTTTTTTTTTTTCAGAGACAGGGTTTTGCCATGTTGCCCAGGCTGCTAACGAACTCCTGAGCTCAAGCAATCTTTCCACTTCAGCCTCCCGAAGTGTTGGAATTACAGGCATGAGCCATCAAGTCCAGCCTGCTTTATTTTTGTTTACACTACTTGGAACCTTCTTTTTTTTTATTTTTTTTATTTTTTTTGAGACGGAGTCCCACTCTGTCTCCTAGGCTGGAGTGCATGGTGCGATCTCAGCTCACTGCAACCTCTGCCTCCCTGGTTCAATTGATTCTCCTGCCTTAGCCTCCTGAGTACCTGCGACTACAGGCATGTGCCACCACACCCGGCTACACCTTGATCTCAGAGACTTCTGGCCCCCAGAACCGTGAGATAATAGGTTGCTGTTGTTGAAGCCCCCAGTGTCTAGAATGCTGTTAAGTAGCCCAGGGAAGCTGGCACAGAACCCGACTGGCCCTCCTGGGCGAGCTGCTTTCTGCCAGGCTCTGGGGTTGGTGGGTGGCATTTCGTTGATCTCTTCCAGCACTTGCCCCCGTTCTGACTTGTATTTCAGGAGTGTCTTTCATCTTCCTAATGTTGATAGCCTCACACAGGTGGCATCATACTGACATCCACGAACCAGCACTCACGTATGCAGTACTTTCAGAAATTAGTTATATTTTTGCATGTTCATGGACATACTCATAAATCTAACTGGACTTCTTTTTTAAGAAGTGAAACAAAGTCTGAATTCTCCATTGTCATGTAGGCCTCAGTTCCAGGAGCTGTCCTGTAAGTTTCTTGAGAAAAGGTGCTCCCAACCTGTACGTGGGACCTCTCGACAGCTGCCTCATAGCCTGGGCCCTGGACAGCTCTGAAGTCAGAGAAGTGGGGCTTCAATAGGTTGTGGTGGGGTGAAATCCTGTCCGTCACCCATGAGGACAGATTAATGCAGCATAACCCTCTTTGTAGCAGTGAAACATGGTCAGAAACTGTCGGTCACCAAGCCATCCCTTTGGAAGTTCTTCACAGGACAATACGTCTTAGAATTTTTCACACACAGTGAAGTGCCACGAGGTGGCTTACCCATCCCATTCCTACTGACATAAATTTATATTCAAAGTAGAAACAGAAATCATCTTCTATATAACAAAGTCCTGAAAATTGTTATAACACTTAAGCCACGTGGTTCTTCAGCATCACATGAGCTGATCCATCCCAGCTAATGATCACGTGGACAGACTAGGACATAACTGTAGAAGTGTTGGTATTTTATATGTATCAAATTTCATTTTTAAAAGATTTTTTAGGGGACAGAAACGTTATAGAACAAATTTTAAAGTTCCACAAAAGTATAAATAGTAGAAAAGGAAACTAGTGCATGTGAACTAGGACTCCATGAAAAGTACCCAGTGGTTGAAGCTGCACGACTCCGTGGACACAAGTTTGCATAAATATTTAAGTGATGTTAGTTCCTGAACATCAGGACTGAACATACAAGCAAGCCGCGGCAGGTCTGCTGCCAGAGCCCTCTGGAGCCCTCGCTGAGAAGGTCCTGCTCAGGGGGCTTCCATTACTGGTTGAGGAGGGGAGACGTGCCACTCGCCTCTCCTAGGGAGTCCCTGGCCACGTACTCTGGAAAGAACAATGGTGCAGAACATGAAGAGCAGCGACCAGGCAGCGGGTGCACCTGTGTCCCCTCCTGGGCGCCTTCTGCATCCCCTGCCCACATGGAGGCAGCCGGGTCCACAAGCGCTCAGGGGCCATGTGCAGGACACTCCAGGGAAGACCACGCAGTCTGAGCTGGGGGCCACAGAGAGAGGACCTAAAGGGAAGGGCAGACATCCCACCCCTCCCCACACCCCGCCCTCTGCCCCCTGCCCCCCAACAGTCACCTGGGTCTGTGGCAGCAGCTGTGGTGACAAAGGCAGAGGGCAGGACCCAGCCCTGCGGGGGAACCTCCTTTCCATGTGGGGCTCCAGCAGGATGGGATCACTCCCTTTGCTTCTTCCTCCCTCTGTCTTCCCAGTACTTGGCCCAGGCCTGCCACAGCCATGGGAGTGCACAGCTCAGCAGGTAACCAAATCCCTAGCTTTCTAGCCAGAGAACAAAAATGAGGGTTCCCAGGAAGAAAGGACATTTTAGGGAGATTCGGGAGAGGGAGAGTCTTGGTAAGTGGCGTGTGGCCTCCTGGGCTGCCCTGGGCTGCTCACATGTGGATTTGAGCTCACGGGCAGACCTCAGCCTAGACCCTGGCGGTGCACACACAGGGCAAATGCAAACAGCACTGAACGTTTTGAGAAAGGAACTGGCTGTGGAAACCCAGACCATAAAATGTTAGTTGAAACTTGCAGCCTGAATTTAATTGGGTTAATGCTCACTAAAACAAACCAATACAAAATCAACATTCTTCATTGGAGTAAAATAAGATGCAGAGTCTCCTAACATAATATTCATGGTGTCCAGAATGCAATTCAACCTTACTAGGATATGAAGAACCAGGAAAATCTCAACTCACTCAGGAACCCCAGCCAGCCCATGCCCATGCCAAGACGACTGAGGTGTTGTGATCTGCTGACAAAAACATGAAAATAGCTATGATAAAATCACTCCACCCATAGTCACAAACCCTCTTGAATCAAATGAGAAAGGAGAAAATCTCAGGAAGGAACTAGAAGATATAAACATAAACCAAATGGACATCTTAGAAAGGAGGGGCAATAAGTTCTTTTTGAAAAAAACCTCACTGGATGGGATTATAGAAGATGGTAAAGAAATACCAGAATGGAACAAAGAGTCTGTGGATTTGAATATAGATTAATGGAAATTATCCAATCTTAACAACAGAGAAAAACATGAGAAAGGAATGCTTTAAATGAGAATATCTTCTCGTGGAGACTCAGTGTGCAGACTAGCTAGTAACTCTCCTGTCACTGGAGGGGCAGGTGAAGGAGATCTACGTGGAGATTGATTCATAAATTCCAACTAGCAAATATGGATTCTAGGCAGTGTGTGAAAAGTTAACTATGTACATTTTATTTCCTAGACAGTGATGCACTATGTAAAATTAAATCACTCCAAATATAATGATAGAGATAGGATGAAAATCCAAAGATGAAAAATGAAGCAAACGCCATGCAAACCCTCATCAAAGACAGTGGGATAAGCCACATTAGTATCAGGCAAAGTATGCTTTGAAGCAAACAAAATCACCAGGGATAAAGAGAAGAAATAAATAATGACAAAAGGGTCAAGACAACATCAATCCTAAATGTGAATTCACCAAGTGCCAGAACTCTAAAATACTTGAAACAAAAATTTCAAAACTCAAGTCTTTGCTATTGTGAATAGTGCTGCAATAAACATACGTGTGCATGTGTCTTTATAGCAGCATGATTTATAATCCTTTGGGTATATACAAGGGTGGTTTCATAGCTAAAAAAGTAAAATTGACTAATGCAATACATCATATTCACAGTCTAAATAATAAAAATGACATGATAATATCAATTGATGCCAAAAGGCAGTTGATAAAGCAATATCAATTTATGATAAAAAGTCAGCAACAAAGACTAGAGGAGAACTTCTCCAACCTGAACAGGGCATCTGCAGAAGGTCTATGGCTGGCCTCACACTCGACAGTGAGGGACCCATGCTTTCTCAGTGAGATCAGGAAGAAGATAAGAATGCCCAGATTTTCTAATCCTATTGGACATCATACTTAAAATCCCAGTCAGTACAATAAGGCAAGAAAAAGAAATAAAATGCATATTGATTGGAGAGAAAACAGCAGTGTCCTTAGTTGTAGATGACATGATTTTACACACAGAAAATCCCAAGAAACACAAAAACTAACTAAATAAATAACTCCCAGAAATAATGAATGAATTTGGCAAAGTAGAATTTATGATCAACAAACCATATTTCTACATTCACATAGAAAGCCAATCATATTTTGACATAATAGCAATGTATAATTGGAGATTCAATTTTTTAAAAAATGCCTTTGTATAATAGGTCCAAACAATGAAACATTTAGATATGAATCTTTCCAAACATGTACAGGATCTCCATGTACTACGAGAGGCCTATGAAGACAATTTTTGCATATATGTATATATGTATAAATAAATGGGTGTTGTGGTGGGTGGATATTGTGGTGCGCAGGTAGGTGTGGACTCAGGTGTGGTGGTGGGCGGGTGTTGTGGTGGTGGGCGGGTGTTGTTCTGGGCAGGTGTGGACTCAGGTGTTGTGGTAGGCAGGTGTTGTGGTGGGCAGGTGTGGGCTCAGGTGTTGTGGTGGGTGGGTGTTGTGGTGGGCAGGTGTGGGCTCAGGTATTGTGGTGGGTGGGTGTTGTGGTGGGCGGGTGTTGTGGGCAGGTGTTGTGGTGGGCAGGTGTTGTAGTGGGCAGGTGTTGTGGTGGGTGGGTGTTGTTCTGGGCAGGTGTGGACTCAGGTGTGGTGGTGGGCGGGTGTTGTGGTGGGCGGGTGTTGTGGTGGGCAGGTGTGGACTCGGGTGTGGTGGTGGGCGGGTGTTATGGTGGGCGGGTGTTGTGGTGGACGGTTGTTGTGGTGGGCAGGTGTGGTGGTGGGCAGGTGTTGTGGTGGGCAGGTGTTGTGGTGGACGGGTGTTGTGGCGGGCAGGTGTGGTGGTGGGCGGGTGTTGTGGGCAGGTGTGGGCTCAGGTGTTGTGGTGGGTGGGTGTTGTGGTGGGCAGGTGTGGGCTCAGGTATTGTGGTGGGTGGGTGTTGTGGTGGGCAGGTGTTTTGGTGGGCAGGTGTTGTGGTGGGCAGGTGTTGTAGTGGGCAGGTGTTGTGGTGGGTGGGTGTTGTTCTGGGCAGGTGTGGACTCAGGTGTGGTGGTGGGCAGGTGTTGTGGTGGGCGGGTGTTGTGGTGGGCAGGTGTGGACTCGGGTGGTTGTGGTGGGCAGGTGTTGTGGTGGATGGGTGTTGTGGTGGGCAGTTGTGGTGGTGGGCAGGTGTTGTGGTGGGCAGGTGTGGGCTCAGGTGTTGTGGTGGGTGGGTGTTGTGGTGGGCAGGTGTGGGCTCAGGTGTTGTGGTGGGTGGGTGTTGTGGGCAGGTGTTGTGGTGGGCAGGTGTTGTGGTGGGCAGGTGTTGTAGTGGGCAGGTGTTGTGGTGGGTGGGTGTTGTTCTGGGCAGGTGTGGACTTAGGTGTGGTGGTGGGCGGGTGTTGTGGTGGGCGGGTGTTGTGGTGGGCAGGTGTGGACTCGGGTGTGGTGGTGGGCGGGTGTTATGGTGGGCGGGTGTTGTGGTGGACGGGTGTTGTGGTGGGCAGTTGTGGTGGGCAGGTGTGGTGGTGGGCGGGTGTTGTGGTGGGCGGGTGTTGTGGTGGGCAGGTGTGGTGGTGGGCAGGTGTTGTGGTGGGCAGGTGTGGACTCAGTGTGGTGGTGGGCGGGTGTTGTGGTGGGCAGGTGTGGACTCGGGTGTGGTGGTGGGCGGGTGTGGTGGTGGGCAGGTGTGGACTTGGGTGTTGTGGTGGGTGGGTGTTGTGGTGGGCAGGTGTGGACTCAGGTGTTGTGGTGGGTAGGTGTTGTGGTGGGTGGGTGTTGTGGTGGGCAGGTGTTGTGGTGGGCAGGTGTTGTGGTGGGCAGGTGTGGACTCAGGTGTGGTGGTGGGCGGGTGTTCTGGTGGGCAGGTGTGGACTCAGGTGTGGTGGTGGGCGGGTGTTGCCACGGGTTTGTCACCTCTTCCTGACCCAGGAAAGTGCAGGTTCCCAAGAGCACTCCCAGGTGTTGGGTTCAGGTTTTCCACTATGGGACCCAGCACCAATTCTGGGCCCCAGGAAATTCTCTCTGGACCCTGTGCTCTTACCCCGTGTATAGACATTGAGCTATTGGTAGGTCTTTACAAACAATACCGGGTCCACTATTCTGAGAGGAGCTGAACTCCTGTGTGAGACACCACATCGGAAACACCAGGGCCAAAAGCCAGGTGAGCTCCCGGCCTGCACTGTCAACCTCACTAGGTGTCAGCCTTCCTTGCCGGGTCCGGCAGCCTGCTGGTGAATCTGGACTCTCCCAGCCTTTCTGGGTCCAGCTGTCTATTGGTGAAACTGGACTCTCCCAGCCTTTTTGGGTCCGGCCGTCCGCTGGCGAAATTGGACTCTCCGGGTGTTCCTGCATGTGTCACAGGCCAGTTGTGTTGTTACCTGCAAATGGTAAGATGCTTCCATTTTAGCCGTATTGTTTGATGACTTTTGGTAAAATAACAGTTGAAGAACAGAATGTAGTAACTGGCTACGTAGATCTCACCTTATTCCCGTTTTCCTTTTAATTTTGTTAACAGCCTCATTAAGATGCAATTCACCTACCATACAATTCACCTATTTACAGTGCACAATTCTTTGATTTTTAGTGATTCACAGAGCTGTGCAACCACAATCAAAAGGAAACCCCACGTCCTTGAGTTATCACCGCCAAAGTATCCCGAATCCTCAGCAGCCCGTCATCTACTCTCCATCTCTAGGATTCGCTTATTCCGGACATCGATAAAAATGGAATCGACGTGTGGCCTTTCCTGGTGGCTTGCTGCCCGGAGCGTGAGGTTCCGAGGTTCATCGTGTGGCTGTGGCCGCGCCTCCTTCCTTCCTGTGGCCAAGCAGCTTCCTATTGTGCGGGATTCTTGCCACTCAGCACAAAAGAGGCAAATAAACTAATGCAGCAGCTCCTCATCCTGCGGGGCCAAGCGGCTCAGTGTCCTGATTCCTCACTCCAAGGCCCCTTCACAAGCCGTCTACATTGCACCTGGTTTTCTCTTTTGTTCTAATTTATTTGTAAGAAATCTTTAAAGAGTCTACTCACTAGTTATTTGTACGTTGACAATATTTTTTAACAAATAACTTTCTATTTTGACATATTTAAATGTATTAATCTTTTTCTTTCCTTGTTTATTTCTATAGTTATTTATCTTTTTATTTTCTTTAATACTTTTCAGGATTCCTTTTCAATGATTATTGTTTATTATTGAATTTATGTATGGATTTATATCATTGAATTTATCGTTTTTGGATAATGTGAGGTTCGTGTCTACAATTTTTTTCCAATCTAGAATTGACTCGTTCTAATATTATTTATCAAATAGTAGATTTGCCTTTTTCCTTCCTACTTAATAGAATGTATATCACATACCAATTCCTGTTGAATAAACAATGCCTTTTCCGTTTTTATTGTCTCTTTATTTGCCAGTGTCTTAATGTCCCATAAGAATAATCAAT
Organism: Homo sapiens; assembly: GCF_000001405.40. NCBI lineage: Eukaryota > Metazoa > Chordata > Mammalia > Primates > Hominidae > Homo > Homo sapiens. The sequence continues at coordinate 26,238,300 of NC_000005.10, forward strand.
TCCTTATTTCCCCATCAGTCACCACCTACATGTCCACAGTACACATTAATTTCAGAGTATGTCAGAGCATATGCTCAAAATTAGCTACTTTAAAAATTAATGTAGCAAGCTATGCCTTGTAACAGCGTTCTTGGGAATATCACACGATAATATTAAATATCAGGCAGTTTGAGAAGCAAGGTGCACTCAGACACATGGACCCACGTGCACACACAAGACTCAGTGAGATATCGGGAACATTTTTTTCTTAAATCAGAAATCACTTGTTATTTTTTGATATTCTAAGTGCAGTTTTCTCCAAATTATAACTCCCTGGTTTCTTCCAAAGTATTCAGCCAGAAAGAGATATAAATGTACATTTGAAATTGCCCAAAATTATGGCTGATATAGAATACTGTCCTTCTCTAAAATATCCAGTCATTAAACTTTGAAAAGTTATGCTAGTGAGAACATGCAATCACCAGCCAGAGGGTATTAATTTGAAAGCAGACAAAAATGGTTTTATATTTCTATTTTGAATGTTCCATATAAAACAATTACAAATATCTGTTTTACTGATCTATATCATAGTTAGCCTACACTTAGTACAAGTACAAAATAACAATGATTACAATGAAAGTATTATACTTACTACTTTTTTCTTTATACTATTTTAAATGAAATAATACAGCAAAAGAATACTTAAATGAAAACCACATACATACTATTTTTATGCAATGTTCAGCCCCCTTAGTTCAAAGGAAGATAGAAAAGAATGTTTATTATTCCTGTGAGAAGGAGGAGCTCAGTCATTTCTATGAGTGTTTGACTTCAGGGTAAGTTACAATTTAAAATTTCCTACTGGGTTAATAGCAGGTACCAAAAGTTCAGAAGAGCAGCAGTAATTACTTCTCTCAAATGCAGAGATTCATCGGGAATATCACGCAGCTTAGCCTTACGCATATCCTGTTATTTTCATTGTGGCTTAAAATACATGCAATTTAATGTTACTTCTTCTAAAATATCCAAAGGCTACGTCATAATCAAGTTAGTATATTTGGCTATTTCAAGTTGTATATTTTTTCTTATAATTCAGTTTCTTTATGAAAGCACATACAAATAGTATGTGTATAACAGAGGATGACTGTGAACATCTCTGCCCTGTGATGAACAGGGCATATACATAACAGATTTCTCTGAATTGAACTAGTCTGCGTGTTGTACATAGTCTGGTAATTCGGGCACTATGTAGGGATTGTGTAAATCTCGAACAGGCTATTTTTCTTTCTAAATTGTGTAAAGATCACAGTCAATTACTTCATATATATATCAAGCTCTCTATGGCTTCAAACCCTTGATATCCCAGCAAATTCTAGGTTCACTTTATTTTATCTTCTCTACTCCCTCAATAATCAGATTTGCTTGCTGCTGAGACCTCTGTTATGTTCATGTGGCTTCCTGTTTCATGTGGTTATCGATGCTTCTCTCTCTCCAGGCCTCTGTGCCCCTCACTCTGCTGCATCTTACTCTGTGTTCCCATAATAGCTTCATTAAACTCGAGCAAACACTTCTCTTGCTGGGCTTGATTTCACTCCAGTACATGACAATAATTTGGACATTGTCTCAAGCGCGCATTAACTCACAGTTATTTTAATGATCTACTTATTTATTTCTTGTTACTGACTTATCCAGCTTCATCACAGGACCCTGAGGTTGAGCAGTGAAACTGAAGCCAGGACAGAAGATTGCTGAGCAATACAAACTACAGTATACTAAAAAATTAATAAAAAATTAAAAAATAAACAGCACTATTTTTACATGAAGCTCAGTGTCTGTTTGCTCTCCCTGATAAGTTAATTCCTTACCTTGAGGGTCCTAGGTTTCCCAAGCAAATAGAAGTTAAGTGCCCTGCTAGCTTTTCACAAACCCAGAGCCAGATAGCCTTAATGTTCCCCTCAGCTTGGCCAAACTTGTGACCGTTTCTTCCTGATCATGGGACCCTGTCCTCCCTTTTCTTAGAACATTTACTGTAGAAAACTCTCCAGTGTGAATTCTTCCTTTGACCCTTTGAGATGCAAATCTTCTCCTAGTCTCTGGCTAGGTTTACAATTTAGGACTGTCTTTCTTTCTCAAGGAGCCATCCCTTTGAAATGAAATCATCAGGAGAGATAGAGCCCTCATCCCTTAGCCTCTGTGGGAGGGCAGGAGCCTAATTTCCATAAACACCAATTAGCAAACACAAAGTAATCCATGTAATTCAAAGTTACCCACATAATTTATTTTAGTGAGGGCACTGTATTAGTCTCTTTTCATGCTGCTGGTAAAGATATACCTGAGACTGAGCAATTTATAAAAGAAAGATGTTTAATGGACTTACAGTTCCACATGGCTGGGGAGGCCTCACAATCATGGTAGGAGGCAAGGAGGAGCAAGTCACATTTTACATGAAGGGCAGCAGGCAAAGAGAGAGAGCTTGTGCAGGGAAACTCTCCTTATAATAAGATCTCATGAAACTTATTCACTATCAAGAGAATGGCATGAGAAAGACCTGCCCCCATGATTCAATTACGTACCATCGGGTCCTTCCCACAACATGTGGGAATTATGAGAGTTATAAGATGAGGTTTGGGTGGGACACAGCCAACCCATATCTGGCTCCTATTTTTATTTTAAAGTAAAATAAAATTATATAACTTAGCCTTATATGTCATAATTATATATTCTGATAGTGTATATCATAATATGTATACATACATAATAGTTCTATTCTAAAAATTGAGTATGTAGGCTCTAGTAAGCCAATGGGAAACCAGCCTCCACTACAGAAAAAGTAACTTTAAAAGAAGGACTGGGAAGAGAACTTCCTAATATGGACAGTGGAGATTTTGTGTAAGAATATTAAGTCCTCTGGGCAGGCCATTAGAAATTGGTAGCTAAGGATCCTAAAAATACCACATACAGAAGTCACACCATAAAGTCCTGAAAATATTCTTAAATATGGTGAGAAGCATATCAATTGGTAAAAAGTATGTTTTTACTTCTCTTCTTGGAAAACAGAAGAAAGACTACTAGAAAACAACTAATGAAACATGAGAAGTTAACAAAGTGGGTAACACTGGTTTGTATTATTAGAAGAGTCCTGCAGAGTTGCATGTGACATGCAGGGCAGATGCAGAGTGAGCAGCAGAATGCCTTGGAGATGGGACAGGATCTTAAATTAGGAAGAACACACACATTTGATAAGGAAAACCTCCAAAGAAGAAACAAGCACAACAAATTCAGAGTCCCTCTGCTTTGACCTCAAGCGGGGACCCTAAAGAAAAGAAAAAGAATCAGTTTCAGATACAGGGGAAAGAGTGTCAGGAAGCCACCTGCTCTTTAAGTTCATTATGCCAGTCAAGGTTGTTGATTACTAAATAACCAAAAGTACTCTATCTACTTTAAGTGAAAAAGGGATTCATTATTGAATAAGTCATTTATGAAATCATTAAGTAATGATTGGAGGAACAGAGGAGCTGTGTATTTGCTTCTCTCGCCAGGTGCCTCCTCAGAAGCATACAGCAAGATCTTACCTGGGGAGAAACCTCCAACTCTGCAACTTCTGCAACTGTGGGCACAAAACAAGTATGTTCACTAGAGGACAATAGCTACTGCCACCAGAAAGGTGCCATTCTGTGACCTGGCAACCATTAGAAACCTCTGCTGCTGCTAATTGTGAAAGATAACATCCATTCACTGCTCACATCTGCGAAAAGCAGAAGTTCTATACTGAGTTTTTTCCTTTACACTATTCCATTCTGTAGAGACATCTCAAATGGGCCTAATTTAAGTAACAGAAGACTCAGTTCTAGCTCCAAATGGAGCTAGAAATATGTCTTGATTCCTTTGCCGGAAGGATAGAACTTGTATACGTAGACCGGATATTTGAAATTCATTCTTTGCCATCCTTTATCTTATATTAAACTTTCAATAGCCAGCTGAAATCTGCAATAAAATGTTTAACAAACCTTCATCTCATATAAACAAAGTCACATTTTTACATAAGGTGACATTGCTAGTTGAGTGTTCTTCAACACATTATTTTCAATTTCAATTTTCAATCTTTCAATTCTAAGATTGTTACTGATAAGGATCTATCAGAGGAGTTTTGAAAATTAAAGAATGATACTATTTGTGAAAATATTTCTGGGGATAAGTTGATAAATACTTTATCTTTTAACGTTTTTACTGTATCAGGCTAAAAAAAAGAAAATCTGGTGAACTTCAGTTGCTCTATACTTATTTTTTTCAATATTTAAAAAATTTAAAACTATGATATGATTTACTTATTGATTATGCATATTTTTCACTGCCAATTTCAAGGCCTAGAGGACAAATATCTTTTCCTATTTTGTTCAGTTATGTTTGCCAGGAGATTGACATAGGGTAAGTCATAGGCCCGTAATAAAAATGAATGAATGAATAAATGTGTTTTTTAAAATAGGCATAAGAGTTAGGATCAAACTCCTCTTTCTCATCCTCAAACACTGATTAAGTAGTTTGAATTAAATATTTGATTACTATATTTTGTCTACTTTGTCAGCAGTTGTCTTAGTTTGGAATGCTGTAACATCATAGATTGGATGGCTTATAAAAAAACAGAAATTTATTTTTCAAAGTTCTGGAGGCTGAAAGTCTGAGTTCAGTGTGCCACCATGACGGGGTTCTCGTGAGGCTCCTCTTCTGGGGTGCAGACCACCGACATCGTGTTGTAGCCCCACATGGTGGGAAGAGGGCAAGAGAGTTATTTAGCTTCTTTTTATAAGGCCACTAATCCCATTCACGAGGTTCCACTCTCATAACCTAACTACCTCCAAAATCCCTACTATCATATACCATTTCACTATGGATTAGATTTCAAGATATGTATTTTGAGAGGGACACAAACATTCGGTCCATTACAATAGGGCTTGTACGTGATAAATGGGTACCCATATCTATGTTATAACTATACATTTCATTTTATTTTTGTCAGTGTACATACATAACATGTTCTTGAGTGTATAAATACTTTAAGGTATGGAAATGCACAGTTTTTAAATTTTTGCGCCTTTAGTCTGTAATTATAATTCAATTTTCTCATATTCTTATATAAATGCAATAATAGCTTATAAATCACTCAAATATGTACATTGAAAGTGGAATCTAAGTTTTAAATTGGCAAACAAAAAATTATGGACAGTAGAATTACTAAATGGAATGGCTTTCATTGTGACATAGAATGGACTTAGAATTTTTACTGGAAAATGTTTCTAATTCTGAAATAAAATTTTAAAAATAAAAAGATATTTGAAACGACTTTTATAGCAGTGGTCTGTGAAGATTTTTTTGGAGATTATATGACAATATTTATTTAGAGAAATTCAGTTCTTAAGCAGGAGATAAATGTGGTATCATTAGCATTTCACATGTTGTTTCACACAACCTTTCATTTGAAGTATAAAACTGTGTTTCTTTATTGCCAGTTGTATCTGTTTTTAGGGATTTGTTTTATTATGAAAAATAGGGCATAATAGAACTTAAAGTCATAGGAAGTTTTATGAATTTGGTTCATATACTTTTCCTGTTTCTCAATTCTGGAAAATAGATATACCTGGAGTAGCATGCATTTAGGTGAAGGCAGGATGGAAAGCTTCTCTCTTCAAATGAGAAGCAGACCTTACCAGAATTAAATTTGAAATTTGCATTCTAATTTCTTATTTTATTGACTCTGAAGCAGATGCACACCTAAAAAAGGCAGTCACTGAGGCTTTTTTTTTTTTGAGATGGAGTCTCGCTCTTTTGCCCAGGCTGGAGTACAATGGCTCGATCTCGGATCACTACAACTTCCCCCTCCTGGGTTCAAGTAATTCTCCTGCCTCAGCCTCCCTATTAGTTAGGATTACAGGAGAGCACCATGATGCTTGGCACATATATATGTTATGTGTATATAATATATACATAATATATTATACATACAACATAATATATTATATATTATATATACAACATATATAACATATTATGTATATATTATATACAACATATATATTATATATAACATATATATTATATGTTATATATTATATATATTATATTATATTATATATAATATATATAACATTATATAATATATATAATATAATATATATTATATATAAATTATATATATAATATATAATATATTTATAATATTATACATAATATATAATATGTATGTGTATATTATAAATATATTATATTTATACATATTATAATATACATAATATACATAATATATTACGTATATTTTTTGTATTTTTAATAGAGACGGATTTCTGCCATGTTGGCAAGGCTGGTCTCAAACTCCCGACCTCAGGTGATCCACCCGCCTTGGCCTCCCAAAGTGCTGGAATTACAGGTGTGAGCACTGAGGCTTATTTTTCTTAACTTTACATATAACTTAACTTTACATATAACTTTTAATGTGTCTGCTATGTAGAGTACAAGACATGCATACAGGAGCAAAGGGACTTAATATTTTGGGACACGTGTTATATCCCAGAATATTTGTTTTATTTTATATACTTATTTTCACAATTAACTTTGGAATTGATAGTACCTTTATTATTTTACAGTAGACAAAACAGAAACTGACCAACTCATTCAAGGTCAAACATTCGCTACTGATTCACCATTCTAGACAGACCAGATAGCAATTGTTGACTGAGAATCTATCCTTTCAAGCATACTGTTTCTTAAAAACACCCTGGCATTCATCCCTCCCCGTTTCATTTTATTTAAAAAGAAGTAATAAATGCCAGTTAAGAATGTCACTATTATCCTCCCTCCAACTCTCATTAGATAGTTAACTTGCCAGTTTCCATCCACAGCCCCAGATCTTAGAGGACGATATGGTTATGTCTCCAGAATCTTAACTTCACATGAGCTGATGCTTCATTAAAAACAGATAAATGCAATTATGTTGTGAATTTCTTGTGGCTTCCTAGAATTTTTGCTTCTAAATCTACTCTGACTTCAATTTACATATACACAAAACACATGCAACTGTACACAATCATTTGTATCGTTGCAGTAAGAAATTATCACAAACATACTGGTTTAAACTAATACAAATTTATTTTGTTTCATTTCTGGAAATCAGCGTTCCCAAATGGGTTTTACTGGAACAAAATCAAGATTTCCGCATGGTCATGCTCTCTCTGGAGGCTCCAGGAAAGACTCTGTTTACTTGACGTTTTTAGCTTCTAGAGGCTGCCAATGTTCCCTGGCTACGGCTTTCTTTTACTTTTAAAGCCAACAATGGACAATTGTCTTTCTTACATCTCATCACTCTGACATTGACACTTCTTTTACTTCCTATTTTCACTTTTTTTTTTTTTTTTTTTTTTTTTGGAGACACAGTCTCACTCTGTCACCAGGCTGGAGTGCCGTGGCGGGATTTCGGCTCACTGCAACCTCTGCCTCCCTGGTTCAAGTGATTCTCCTGCCTCAGCCTCCTAAGTAGCTGGGATTACAGGCATGCACCACCACGCCCGGCTAATTTTTGTATTTTTAGTAGAGACGAGGTTTCACCATATTGGCCAAGATGGTCTTGATCTCTTGACCTTGTGATCCGCCCGCCTCGGTCTTCCAAAGTGCTGGGATTACAGGCGTGAACCACCGCGCCTGGCCCTACTTTCACTTTTAAGATCTCTCGTGATTACACTGAGTCAACCTTGACTATCCAAAATGGTCTCCCCATCCCAAAATCCTTATTGTAATCACATTTATGATTTCAGTTATTAGGAAGTGGATATTTTATGGAAGAGTTTATTCTGTGTGTGTATATATAGATAATGTATTTTAAAAAATATAAATCTTCAAACTGGAGGCATTTAACGAGCTATTTTCTTGGCATGGGGTATCTAATTCTTGCCTGAAAGTGAAACGTTTGAGAAAGCGTATTTGATTTTTATGTCCACAGGGTGATATTTAATAAAAGACCGCTCCAGTGAACTGGAAGGTCCACCCTTAAATAAGCATTAATTTATTTCATATCATTACAATGTTAGAAGATAAATTATAAGAAAAATGTGCTTCAGGCTTAAATATTATAATTAAATACATGCAAGATATATGGCAGTATAAACTGGGGCTTGAAAGAAAATGTTATACGTGAACAAATGTCTCATTTGCTAAATATATTTTACTATAATTTTTAAAGGAGATATAGATAACCAGGAGATATAGATGACCAAAACATTCTTTAAATTGATAAGCAAACAAAGATATTGCCTCTACATAGTTTCTCTTCTTAAAAAATTTCAAATAACAGATGCACAATATCATCTTTTATAAAAAATTTACTTCTGTCTATATATGGGAAAAATTTCATAAAATTTTCCCAATATCTTTAATAATTTATAATTGCCGTTATAAAAATACATAACAATTTGTAATCAAGCCTAATTTTATTTCATGAACCTGTTAATACTGTCATGGTTATATGAGATCCACCTGGGACAGATATATATTGAATTAAAGAAAGGTTTTAAGTCTCCAAGGCAAATGCAGGTGATGCTTTAGAAGATTTCAAATGGAGAAAAATATAGCAACCTAAAACTCTACAGGCAAAGGAAGTAATTTAGCTAAACTTCAAATTAAACAAAAGCAAATTATAGATCACATGCAAAATTACCCATTTTGCATATGTAATTACATGTTTTTATGCATCACTAGATATAACTTTTTAAATTTAACCTCGGAACTTGCCTTTCTACTTTGACCAAAATTATATAAATATATAAAAGGATTGTATTAATACTATCATACCTCAACTTTCCTTTGCAAAACACTGCTTCTTCATTGTTATTTTCTTTTCAATTAAGAGCAATGGCATTATCTTATTTTCTCTCATTTCCTAGTTTTATTCCTGCCATTGTCTCAAAGATCCTTTGAATTCTCTCATTCCATTTATTGTTGATCTAAGGTTGTTTAATATTAAATTTGTTCAATAGCTATGACCACAAATTTTTAAGACTATTGACAATATCTATTTGCCTTGTTTTAAATCAGTGATTTGTAAATCTGGCTACAACTTTTATGACTCCAGTTTTAAACACATACCAATTTTCAGGTCCCTCCGATGGAGATTCTAATTTAATTAGTGTGTGAAATAACATGGCCATCGGAACATCTTAAAAACTCTCTAGGTGGTTCCAGAATGATTGCCAGGTGTAAAAGCATTGTAGGAAGTACAGAATAGCTCAAGGCCTAGGAAATTTTCTTACTTCTCTCTGTGACAAGTACATTCTCAGTTGTTGAAATAAGCCATCTCTAATTCTCAAAATAGTTCAGTAAGGTAGATTTGATTATCCCCACTTTGCAGAAGAAACACAGATATCAAAAAAATACAAGTAACCTGTTCAAAGTCACACATCAAATAATTTCACAATCCAGGATTAAAAGCAAGGTCTGTCAGATTACAAAATGCATCCTCTTCAGTTTTCTATTCTCTAGAGGCTAGCACATTCTTCAAGATTTAGGAGCCATTGAAATACATGTTAACCTATTTTCTATTGTCCTCAAACATTTTTGTGTTAATATTTCCAATTTTGGACAATACATTCTTGCCACCAAATTCTACTCAAAATGCATGATTTTAAATACGAAATAGCACTGAAAAGTTAGACTACATTTTAGAAGATGCTAGCCAGTTTGCAAATATTTAAAGCAAAGATAAAGTGAGATATAAAATCAAACACTACAGCAAGACATTATAAATATACATTTCTTTTATTCAGTTTTGCATTTCTAACTGACTCATGCTATATTCTCATGGAATCTGTATTACATTAAGAGCTATACACTCCATACCTTTTAATTTGTTTAATATTTATAATGCTTAACAGAAAACTCTAAATTTTCTTCAATTTTTATTTAAAGAAAAACGTTAAAATTTTAAAAGTAAATTTCTTCACTTTTTAAAGAATAATTGAAATACTCTTGAAAACAAGTATTTTCTGAATAATTATTAACATACTCTTTTTAATTGGCTCTGAATTGTACTAAAATCGTGGGATGTGAAGCATGAAAACATTTGCTAAGTTAATTCATCATGTTGTATTTATTTCATGAAAACTTGAGGAGTACTTTCTTGAAAACTTTGCAGTGATGTATTTTATAATAAACCACAAATCATGAAGGCAGCCTAAGTAAGAATTAAGATCAATGGCCTGCAATGAGTAGCAAGATTTTTAACCTTGCACTGCCACTGCATTTGTGACTTTTATGATTCTTTTCACCTTACAAAATTCTACATTTTTTCCTCCCGGTACGTATGATTCTTCCATATTCATATATAAAGAGATTTCTGTTGTTTTATTTTTCTTTTCTAAATAAAATCTTTGGAATAAAGATAAATTAATTTAGACATAACTAGAGTAATGTTTATTTCAGAGGTGAGTAAATGTCACATGTTAGCCTTATCTTAAATTTGCTAAACTACTGCACATTCTATTTTTCCTGTGTTCAGACTTCATACAAGAAGTTTGTTCTATATTTTTAAAGATGCAATTTGGTACTATTTAAAAACTAACAATAAGTATTGATTTAAAAAAGGACAAGAAATTGCTAAAATTTAAGTAATTATAAAAATCATTGTGAAAAAATAATAAAATGAAAAACTTATCTGACTGTAGGAGTACATTAAAGTTAGTAGCCATCAGCATTTGCTAAGATCTAATTTAAAAAGAAGACGAAATACGCATTTTACATGTGGCTTTAATCAGTGTGATATAATTCTCAGTTCCTTTGATTAATGAGTACATTCTCAGCTATTAGGTGTTACCTATTTGTTCAGAAGCCATAGAAATACTCCAACTTAACTGGCTTAAACATGCTTTTTTACTTACTTAATTAGCTTCTCTAGAGTTGCTAATAATCACACAGTCTTGACTGTGAACCATGTAATTATTTTGACATTAATTCTCTCCCTGGGATATCTTATTCTTGATGTCATCATTTCTGCACTTCAGTTTCTGGCTAGTAATTTTATAACTGTAATAAAACTACTACTAGAAGATGTGCATGAATATTATACTTTAAAATTCTGTGGGATAAATAGGTGTCAATTTTCATTTTCACTCTAACAGCAACTATATGCTATATACAATCTGATCATTTACAAAAAAAAGTGAGGTAAGAAAACTATATCCCTTTAAAAAAGATAAATCAAGATCATTGCTATCAAAACATATAGGTACAAACTATGTTTCTCTTAGTCTGTTTTGTGCTGTTATAACAGAATACCTAAGACTAAGTAATTAATAAAGAGCAGAAATATATTTCTCACAATTCTGGAGGCTGGGAGATCCAAGATGAAGGCACCCACATTTGGTCTACTGAGTGTCTTCTTGCTGTATTCTCACATGCCAAAAGGAAGAAAATAAGCTAACTGAACACTGCATGAAACCCCCTTTTCAAAAAACCTTAACCTATTAACTAGAGAGCAGCCCTCATGGCTTAATCACCTGTTAGAAGATTCACCTCAATATTATCACATTAGAAACACCTAAATTTTGAAGAAAACATATTTAAAGCTTAGAATTCCACCACTGGACCACCAATATTCAGGTGCTTCTCACATACAAAATAACATATATTTCATACAAATAACCTCAAAGTCTTAATTTATTCCAGTGCCAACTTTAACATCTAAAGTTCAAAGTCTCATCTAGGTATCATCTAAATTAGATAAGGATGACCCTCATAATATGATTCATCCTGAGGCAAATTTCTCTCCATCTGTAAACTGTAAAATGAAACAAGTTACATGCTTCCAAACTGCAATGTTGGGACAGGCAAAGCATAGACATTTCCATTATAAAAGGGAGAAATAAGCGAGAAGAAATGAGTGATAGGTCCCAAGTAATTCCAAAACCCAAGAGGGCAAGAAGCATTAAATCTTAGAGCTTGAAAAGAATCTCCTTGACTTCATTTATTGGCTTTTAGTCGCACTAGGGCACAGGATTGGCCCCAACGATTTTGACAGTCATGACATGTTGACTTTGCTGGGCTTGGCCCATACATCAACTCTCATGTATTGAGGTCACATGCCTGCAGTTCTTCCAAGCTGATGTTGCATGCTTGTCGCTCTACAGTTCTGGAGTCCTGAGAGTGGCCCAGCCCTCATGGCTCCATTAAGTGTTGCTCTAGTTTTAACTCTCTATGGTGTTCCCAACCCCATTGTTCTGATGGACATTACCCTAGTGGGGGTCCTTTGTGACAGCTTGGAGCCAGCAGCAGGTCTCTTTTGGGCCCTGAGGATGTTCAAGAGATCTTTTGAAATCTAATTGGAGGTAGCCATTGTGTCACAGTTCTTGCCCTCTGCATGCCTGCAGAATTAGCAGCACGTGGATGCTTTGAGATGCAAAGTTTGTGCTCTCCAGAATGGTGACCTGAACCATACCTGGACCTGGTTGAGCCACAGCTGGAGTGGTTGAGAAATGCTGCACCCAAATGTGGGTAGCTGAGCCCCAAGGAAGCCATGGGCAGCTAGCCCTGAGGTTCCACAGACACCCTGAGCCCTTGTCCTAAAACTATTCTGTCCCCGCACCTCCCACTCAAGGTCCTAGCACTCTAGGCCTGTGATAGGAGGAGCATCCCTGAAGAGCTCTGAAATGCTGGTGAGGTCATTCTCTCATTGTCCTGATGAAAAAGTACCTGGGTTCCTTCTAGACATACTGTTTTCCTTATCAAATGGTTCCTTGATCATACCCCTGGCTTTCTCTCCTAGACATGCTTAAAAATTATTTATATGGCCATGGTTAAGAACTTTCCAGATCTTTATGTTCCACTTCCCTTTAATTAAGAATCCCATCTTTAAATCATTTATCTGTTCTTGAACTTACTAGCAGTTAAGTTTTTATAACTAAGCAGTTAAGAGAAGTCACACAGCATCTTGAATGCCTTGCTACTCAGAGATTCCTTATGCCAAACATCCTTTTTCATTACTATTAACTCTAGCTTCCATAAAGTCCTGGGACATGGACATACTTCATCAAAGTTCTTTACCACTATACAACAAAGTTTATTTTTCCTCCAGTTTCCAATACCTTGTTTCTCCTTTTCATTTGAGAAGTCATCAGAATAGCCGTTACTCTTAAATTCAAGGAAGAAACACAGATGTTTTCAGATATTCACTTAAAAAGGGTTCTAGCCTCTACCCATTACCCAGTTCCAAAACTGCTTCCACATTTTTAGGTAATTGTTATAGCAACATCCTATTCTCAGTTCCACTTTCTGCCTTAGTCTGTTTTATGCTGCTGGAAGCTAATGCCTGAGACTGGAAAATTCATAAACAACAGCAATTTATTTCTTACAGTTCTAGAGGCTGGGAAGTTCAAAATCAATGCACCAGTATCTGGTGAGGGCCTACTTGCTGTGTCTTCACATAGCGGAAGATCAAAATTACAAGCTAGCAATCTAGCCAAATGCTTTCTGATTCCTCCTTTTTTAAAAGGACCTTACTAGCATTAATAAACAAAGCAGCCTTCATAGCCTAATCACCTCTTAAAGGCATTACCTCTCAATACCATTACATTGGCTTCACCTGAGTTTTGGAAGAGATCCATTAAACCACAGCAAGTATGGACATTGGTTGCATTCAGCATTACCTCGGTTACCTTAGAAAAGTCAGCCTCACTGAGCTTAGTCTCTCTCTTTATTACAGAAATAAGTGCAATTACCACATTGTAAAAATAATTTTAAATAAGACCATACAAGAGGTTTTATATATAGTAAGTAATTGATATGTGGTTAATAAGTATTATTACCCAACTGACATTCTTGAGAGTACTTGGAGTCTTATTTGCTTCTTTTGATTCTCAGTAACTACCATAATGACAGCAACTGTCATGCCACTGGTTTGCTACTGGCTGAGTTTGTATTTGTGGAGATATACATAAAATCAGTATCTCAAAGAGATACCCATTCCATACACCTATATTTATTACAGCATTCTTCACAATAGCCAAGATATGCTCATCAACAAATGAATGGATAAAGAAAATCAATCTCTCTCTCTGAAACCTTGATATCCCTCTCTGTCTCTCTCTCATGTACATATATATATATATTTATAAATATATATATTATTTTCTTTGTATGTCTACTGTAACGTGGGGTTGCTGGATAATATGGTAATTTTAAATAAGAAATATTTCTTATTAAAAAATAGAAATCTTTCTAATTTTTTGAAAACCTTCATACTCTTGTCATATAGCTATATCAATTTACATTTTCATCAATAGTGTACAAGAGTTCTGTTTTTTCCACATTCTCCCCTATGCTTGCTATCTTTTTAAAACTATTTTTATAGATTTAGGGGGAACAAGTGCAGTTTTGTTACACAGATACATTGTGCAGTGGCAAAATCTGGGCTTTTAGGTACCCATTACACAATGGTATATATTGTAACTGCAATGTAATTTTTCATCCTATTTCCCCTCCCACCCTCCCACCTTTCTGAGTCTCTGATGTCTATTATTCCAATCTCTGTTGATATGTACATATTATTTACCTCCTGCTTTTAAGTGAGAACATGCAAATTTTGACACTTTGTTTTGGGGTTATTTTAGTTAACAAAAAAGCCTCCAGTTCCATCCATGCTGCTGCCAAAGACATTATTTCATTGTTTGTTATGGCTGAATAGTATTCCATTTTATATATATCATTATATATATACACACACACACATATACACACACACACAGAATATAATAAATGTCATCCATGTATACATACACACATACATATATATACACATACATATATATATATTCTTGCACCACATTTTCATTATTCAATCATCCATTCATAGGCAGTTTGATTCCATAACTTTGCTGTTGTGAAGAGTGCTAGAATAAACATATGAATGCAGATATCTTCTTGATAAAATGATTTATTTTCTTTTGCATAGATACCCAGTAGTGGAATTGCTGGATTGAAAGGTAGTTGTATTCTTGGTTCTTGAGAAATAACCATACTGTTTTTCATAAAGGTTGTATCAATTTACATTCTTGCTGACAATATGTAAACATTCCCTTTTCTGCACATCTTTTTTTGTTTTTAAATTTTTAATAATAGCCATTATGACTGGTATAAAATTATAACATATTGTTGTTTTAATTTTCATTTCTCTAGTGATTAGTGATGTTGAGCATTTTTTTCATATGCTGGTTGACACTTGTATGTCTTCTTTTGAAAAATGCCTGTTCATGCCCTTTGCCCATTTTTTAATGGTTTGTTGTTGTGGTGGTGGTGGTGGTGGTGGTGATTGAGTCATTTGAGTTTTTTTGTAGATTCTGAATGTCAGTTCTTTATTGGATGCATGGTTGGAAAATATTTTCTCCTATTTGCCAGGCTGTCTGTTCACTCTGCTGATTTTTTCTTTTGCTATGCAGACTCTTTTTAGTTTAATAAAGTCCCATTTGTCTATTTTTGTTTTTATGACATTTGCTTTTGAGGTCTTAGTCATGAATTCTCTTTATATTCCAATGTTTAGAAGAGTTTTTCCTATTTTTTCTTCTACTATTTTTATTATTTAAAGTCTTACATTTAAATCTTGTGTCAATTTTTTATATAGAGTGAGAGACAGAGATTAAATTTTATTCTTCTGCATATGAGTATCCAAATTTCCCAGCACAACTTATTGAAAAAGGTGTCTTTTCCCCAGTGAAGGTTTTTGTCAACTTTGTCAAATATCAGTTGGCTGTAGGTATATGGCTTTATTTATGGATTCCGTATTCTGTTCCACTGGGTTATGTGTCTATTTTAACACCAATACCAGGCTGTTTAGATTACCAAGCTTTTGTAGTATAATTTGAAGTCAGGTAGTATGATACTTCCAGCTTTGTTCTGTTTCCTTTGGCTATTTGGGGTCTTTTTTTTTTTGGGTCCATAAGAATCTTAGGACTTTTTTATTCTAATTCTATAAAAGTCACTTTGATATTTTGATAGGGATTACACTGAATCTGTAGACTATTTTGGGCAGTATGATCATATTAAGGGTATTGATTGTTATGATCCATGAGCAAAGGATGTTTTTCCATTGTTAGTGTCATCTACAGTTTCTTTCATGAGTATTTTGTAGTTTTTGTACGTAGACGTTTTCACTTCTTTGGTGAAATGTATTCCTAGGTATTTCATTATTTTTTGTAATGACTATAAATGGGATTGACTTTTGGATTTGATTTTCAGCTTAATTATTATGGATGCATAGAAATACTCCTTATTTTGGTATATTTATTATGTATTCTTGGACTTTACTGAATTTGTTTACCAAATCTTGCAGTCTTTTGAAGGAGATTTTAGGGTTATCTAGGTATAAGATCATAGTATCAGCAAATAGAGATAATTTGATTTTTCTTTTCTAATTTGGATGACACTTATTTATTTCTCTTGCCTGATTATGCTGGCTAGGACTTCTAGTACTATATTGAATAGGACTGGTAAAAGTGAGCATCCTTCTCTTCTTCCACATCTTAGAAAGAATGCTTTCAGCTTTTCCTGTTCAGTATGATGTTGGCTGTGGTTTTGTCATACATAGATTTCATTATCTTGAGATATGTCCCTTCAATGCTTAGTTTGTTGAGGGTTTGGTGAATCACATTTATAGATTTGAGTATGTTGAATCTTTTGTTTTTTGATATTAGCCATTCTAACATGTGTAAGCTGATGTTTTATTATGGATTTGATTTGGATTTCTCTAATAATTAGTGATATTGAGCTTTTTTCATATACTTGTTAAGCATTTGTATGTCTTCTTTTCAGAAATGTTCATTCAGGTCCTTTGCCTATTACTATTATTATTATTATTGTAATCAAGCTATTTGTTTTCTTTCTATAGTGTTGTTTCAATTTCTTACATATTTTGAATATTAATCCCTTTTCACACATTGGTTTAGGAAATTATTTTTTGGATAGGATTCCAAAACCACAAGCAACAAAAACAAAAATAGACATATGGGATTGTATAAAAACTAAAAATCTTATGCATGGGAAAGGAATCAATCAAGTGAAGACACACCATACAAAATGAAAAAAAAAAAAAACTACTTCGAAACCATATATCTGATTTGTTTTAAGTTTTCTCATTCAGCGTAGTTAATGGTAGGGAGCATAATTTTTAAACAATAATAAAAATATAGAATTACAACTTAAATACAAAACAAGCTATTTATTAGTTTTTAATACATATGACTTATATTTATCTCTGATTATTCCACAGATATATAAGAATAATATAGGTGATATTTTATAGACAATACAGCTTAATTACGCTAGGTTTTTTTACAATTATCATACAGCAAATGGTTGTCAAACTGAGAGGAAGACATAAACAACATTGCTATGTTAATTTGTAGATTTTAATGGCAAAAAGTCCTGACTATAATATTTAAACTAGCAAAGTAATAGCTTACTTTGTAGATTTACATATGCATGCACCCCAGCATTTAGATGATTATTTGAATTTATGTAGACGGTTATCTGAATTTATTTATTTATTTATTTAATTGTATTTGAAACTTTTTCTGACAAGAGATGTCAAAAAAAATGGTCTGGGAACATATATTTACACTCTATTAGAATAATAATGTCATCTTCCCGAATATAATTGTTATCACTGATTTTAAAGTTTACATTTGTGGAGCTTTTGTAGATATTTATTCCGATTATTATTTGAAATATATAATAGTTAAAGATAGAATAATTATTTGAAAGAATAAAACAATTATGAAAAAACAATTTTCCTTAATTATGGAAACATCTTTATGAGAAGATATAATAAAGAGGAATAATAAAGTTTATTAATGTCTAGCCTAGTACATAATTTTATATTGATTTTTATGATAGATAATTTTTTTGGAGTTCAGAAAAAAATAGAGACCTGTAAGATAAATCCTACTGCTTTCAGTGATTTATGTGTATTTTAAATTTGGAGCCCAAAACCAGCTAATTTTGATAACTTGATAGCAACCTGAAAGCATAAAAGAGAGAATGATATTTGGAACAAAACGAACCTGTGAACATACAGGCATTCTTTTTCCATCTAATTTTAGAGTCCACCAAATATATTATTCTAACGCCTGTTCAACCAGCATTTATTCAGACACATATTAAGACCACCTTTAATACTGTCTCACATTATCACACAATGTTTTAGAGAATGCTCTTTCATATAATAGATCTGGATACTGTTGTATAAGCAGAGTTCTAAGAATAAACCCCAATGATCTCCCATTGTAGAATCTTCTCCCCTTTAAGTCAATAGAATTTATCAGTATGAAACGTTGTCACTCCATGATTGCTACATTAAATGGCAGAAGTGATTTTGTGGATATAATAAAAGTTATTAGTCAGTTAACCTTAAAATAGGAAGATATTTTTGGATGGGCCTACTTTAAATGCATGAACCCTTTAAATGAGACAGTTTTCTGGTTAGTGGCAGAAAGTCAGAGGTTGTAGGTATGAGTACTCAGTGCTTCGTTGCTGACTTTGACGATGGAGACAACCAGGAGTTGAGAAATAACACAGGCAGCCACTTGGAGCAGAAAGTGGCCTCTAACTGATATTTGGAAAAAACTTTTAAAAAGAAGAAGGAAAGAAGGAAATAATAACCTCAACCTATAGCCACGAAGAACTGGTTCTGCTAATAAACCAAATGAGATTGGAGGCAGATTCTTCTTCAGAGCCTGCAGGCAAATGCCTGCCCTGTTACACTTTGGTTTCAGCCTTCGAGACTTTAAAAGAACTCAACCAGTGAAGCTGATTCTGACCTTATTATGAGATACCAAGTGGGTATCACTCTAATCCTTTTTAAACAATTTTATTTTTAATATTTAAAATTGACAAATTAAACAATGTGTGTGCATATATATATGTATGTATAGTATACAACATGATGTTTTAATACAGTATATATGTGTATGTATGTATGTATAGTGAAATGGCTAAATCAAACTATTTAACATATGCATTACCTCACATATGTACCTTTTCTGTGTGTGTGTGTGGTGAGAATACTTAAAATCTACTCTCAGGAATTTTCAAGGGTACAATATATCACTTTTAACTACAGTCAACATAATGTACCATAGATTTCTTGAACTTGTTCCTCCAGTTCAACAGAAAGTTTTATATCATTTGACCAACATCTAGGTATGCAGCAAAAAAAAAAAAATACTAACACAGGCGTGAAACTAGTTACTGCTACTTTTCACATGTGCAAAAGGGCAATTTATGAAAAATTAATAATTTCTAACATACATTTTTGTGGATGCAGAAGAGAGGATCATACAATTAAAGTGCATATTCTGATGCCTGTAATATATTAGCTGTTTAGTAAATAAAATGAGCTAAGAAGAAAGACACTGATCCTTTTTCCTTACTTTAGATGAATCCTTTAATATCACTGGGTCTTAACTTTCTTATACATAAGAAAACAACTTTAAAGAATCTTGAAATTTGTTTTAAAACTAAATATTTTCTATCCTTTCCATAAACTAATATAACATATATTTAACTACCTTTATAAATCAGTATCTATACTGCTAATCAGAAACGGCATTTAAGTACCAGAAGAGCCCCTTATTATATGGATAGCTTACTCAATAATAAGTCAGACAACTTTTAGCAACATAAAAAGGCAACAAAAGCAGCACACATCAATGCATGTGCTAGCATTATTGAGAGCTTCATGTATATTAATTCCTTCAATTCTTATAATCCATTTACTTTTGCTTTGCATGTATTAGGCCTTAACAAAGTCTTGAAGACCGAATACTGACTGATAACACATATTGTAAAGTGAAAAGACTGAGGGGCAGAATGACTTAATATCTTGCATAGGACTGCATGGAGGTGAGTTTTGAGCTCCTATCTTTCAGGTTCAGAGAAAATGTTGATGAATAGTATGCTGCACTATCTTCTGTGTTGGTTAAATTTTCCTAATCTCCATAATTTCATCTTAAATTGGAGACACTAACTAGTTACAGACATTTTGTAAAGATTAGCAATATATGTTTATGGTTACTATAGTGCCTAGCAAAGTATTGGTACTCTATAAGTTCCAATAAATCATAGAAGAATAATTTTTGTGGTATGATGATGATACAGTTATTATAAAACTAGTGCAAAAACATTGATAGACATTTGAAAGAAACAGATATATTAAGTAATGTAACCCATATAAACATAATTGTTTCATATCTGATGTAGACTATTTATTGAAATTTATGTTTCTATACAGGAACACAGAAAGATGTTAAGATAGTTACATATCTCCCTTAGAGACTCAGGTTGGTTCTATTTTAACCGATCTAAAAAAAAGCTTGCATGAACCACGTTTTTAAGATTAACTTCAAAACATAATGCAGGGTAAAATGCTACTAAGAAAAACTTTTTCAAAGGGAAAAGATGCTTTTAGTCAACATAGACATTGATAGTTTGTAACTGCAGTGCCTATTTCAGGGGGTTGAGAGAGAACCCCTGAAATGTTTTGAATGACTATCTCATGTGTATTAGCAAACATAGTGTAAAGTTCAGCTAGCTAAATTCCTGATCCTACCTTGAATGTCAAGTTGTATTACAGCATAGAATAGTAATAAATTCTGTAATTAATTTAGCCTACCTTAATATTACATCTGAAGAAAAAAATTGGTGATTTTACTTTGTTATATTTGTCAATAAATGATGTTATTAATGCAAAAATATCATTTTTTGAAAAAAATCTTTTAAGGCCATTGTTTGATATTTTTCCCTTATAAAGCATTATGGCTTCCAGATTTGTGATTATGTACTCAGCTTGTTTCATAAATAAATTTTGGTGTGCATTTATGCCAAGTTCTGAAGTTCTTCCAACAACTTTTTTTCCCTAAATACATTTTGGAAATCTCTTCATTAATATTTCCAGTTGCTAGGCAACACCTCCTCTTTCCTCGTTGCTATGGTGACCCTTGAATCAGGGAGGACAGGAAGCCATCTGTTTAAACCAAAACTCTTCCTTTCTTTAAAGTATGGTCTGCTCTACTGCCAGAGACAAGGATGAGTAAAGTTTAGACAAATACAAGGGTAAAACTCCAAAATCATAATTGATTTTTTTGTTTGAAAAATAATTGCTTCTTAATAGAACATGAAATCACTCTGCTGCAAAATACTGTATTCACAACAGAGTGAAATTACACTCTGAAATGCTAAAGACAAAATATACAGTGAATAAAATCAACCAAAATAACCTCAGGTGTTTTAAATATTTATTTTATTTTATTTTATGTGGTCTTTATTGTCTATACATGCACATCCTAAGATAACATTTTAAAAGAATTTTTCAATAAGTAACCAAAAACCTCAGCTGGTTTAATACCATGGTATTTTTGGAAGATAAATGAAAAAGTTGGCGCTAAGACTATTCTGAGTAAAAATTGAAATTTGTCTTTGTTTTTGTTTTCCCAAAGTGAAACTAATATCATTTCTTGGACTACTAACTAAGTGGTTTCAGAATGTGCCTGGGGATTTGGCTTTATTGAGGTTAAAATTTTACCAAGTACCCTTTGTACATAGGTGAATATTCATAAAAGAGTGTTATTCCCAGCAATTTGTTTAAAGTTTGATAAGCTAAATAGAGAAAGCAAGCTTTCACTTATTTGAGGTGTAAATAGGTTTGGTGATTACCACAGTATTTTTAACACCATAAATGTGAATCATACTCTTCCTTTATAATATTAACTCCTTTACAATACTTCCATCATTATAATCCCATTGACTTTCAGGATTGTGCTCTTGCCCATTATTTCAAAATCTCATCATTTTGTAACAGATTATTAATAACAGTGAGCTCTGGTCATTCACCTTTCAATATTCTTCTTTTGACCACTTGCCAAAAGGTGTTTGACATTTCACTGACTTGCTTTTGGGGTTACCCCTGAAAATGTCTTTCTTTCCTTTAAAAATAATGCAATGTTGTTCAGAAGCAGAAGCTTTCTAACTATTCATACATAGCTGGAGTGCATATTTACATTTATGTGCATGCAAGAGTAATAGTATCAAATTTATCTTGAGCACAATTTAAGTTGCATGCCACTTACTGTGATGGAGTTCACCTTTGCTACCCTATTAATCCCAAAATAAGAAAATGCAGTCAGCATTATAATGTTTTGGTTTTATTATAAAAATATATTTTTAATTCAGTATATATTTATCAAGGAAAAGGAAAGCCACATATTTCAAGTAAAATTAGATGAAAATCTATATCATCATTTTCTTTTTTTATATATTTCCATAATTTTTTAATTTTTATTTTAGATTTAGGGAGTATATATACAGGTTTGTTTCCTGAGTATATTGCATGATGCTGAGGTTTGGGATATAAATGATCCCATCACTCAGGTACTGAGCATAGTTCCCAATAGTTTTTCAAACCTTGTCTTCCTCCCTCTTTCCACCACTTCCCTGCTAGTAGTCCTCAGAGTCTATTGTTGCCATGTTTATGTCCATGAGTACCTGAAATGTAGCTCCCACTTATAAATGAGAGCATTTGGTATTTGGTTTTCTGGTACTGCCTTAATTTACAGCTAGTAGCCTCTAGCTGCATCATGTTTCTGCATAGAACATAATTTAGTTCTGCTTAGTGGCTGCATAGTATTCCATGGTGTATACATACCACATTTTCTTTATACAGTCCACCATTGATGGGCACCTAGGTTGATTCCACGCCTATGTTATTGTGAGTAGCACCGTGATGAACATGCAAGTACCTATGTCTTTTTTATAGAATGATTTGTTTTCTTTTGATATACGCCCAGTGTTCGGATTGCTGGATCAAATGGTAATTCTGTCTTAAGTTCTTTGAGAAATCTCCAAACTGCTTTCCACAGTGGTTGAACTAATGTACATTCCCACCAACAGTGTATAAATGTTCCTATTCTCTTCAACTTCACTAACACCCATTATTTTTTGACTTTATTAATAGTAGACATTCTGACTGGTGTGAGATGATATTTCACTGAGGCTTTGATTTGCATTTCTCTAATGATTAGTGTTGCTGAGCATATTTTCCTATGTATGTTGACAATGTGTATGTCAATAATGTGTATGTCTTTTAAAAAGTGTCTGTTCATGTCCTTTGCTCACTTTTTAATATGGTTGTTTGTTTTATTCTTGTAAATTTGTTTAAGTTCCTTACTGATTCTGGATATTACACCGCTGTCAGATGGATAGTTTGTGAATACTCTCTCCCATTCTGTAGGGTGTTTACTTTGTGTGCAGTTTATTTTGCCATGCAGACAATTGTTGGTTTAATTAGATCCTTTATCAGTTTTTGTTTCTGTTGTAATTGCCTTTGAGGACTTTGTCATAATTCTTTTCCAAGACAAGTGTCCAGATATTTCCTAGGTTTTCTTCCAGGACTCTAATAGTTTGAGATCTTACATTTAAGATTTTAACCCACCTTGAGTTAATTTTTGTATATGTGAAAGGTAGGGGTCCAGTTTCATTATTCTGCATATGGCTTTCCAGCTACCTCAGTGCCATTTATTAAATAGGGAGGCCTTTCACCATTACTCATTTTTGTCAACCTTGTTTAGGATTAGATAGCACTAAGTGTGCAGCTTAATTCTGGTTTCTCTATTCTGTTCCCTTGATCCATAGATCTGTTTTTGTACCACTACCATGCTGTTTTGGTTACTGTAGCCTCATAGCATATTCTGAGGTCAGCTAAAGTGATACCTTCAATGTGTGCTTTTTAATTAGTATTATTTTGCCTATTTAGGCTCTTTTTTGTTCCATATGTATTTTAGAATAGTTTTCTTTTTCAATGTCTGTGAAAAATGAAATTGGCCATTTGATAGGAATGGTGCTGAATTTGTCAGTTGTTTTGGGGAGTATGGCCATTTTAATGATATTGATTATTTCAATTCATGAACATGTTATGTGTCATTTATGATTTTTAGTGGTGTTTTCTAGTTCTCCTTGTAGAGATCTTTTACTCTGTTTTTAGATGTATTCCTAGGTATTTTATTTTTGTGTGTGGCTATTGTAATTGGGGTTGCATTCTTGATTTGCCTTTCAGTTGAATGTTATTGGTGTAAGGA
Source organism: Homo sapiens (assembly GCF_000001405.40). Lineage (NCBI taxonomy): Eukaryota > Metazoa > Chordata > Mammalia > Primates > Hominidae > Homo > Homo sapiens. Next base: position 26,262,428 of record NC_000005.10, read on the forward strand.
AATGTTAATGATTTCTGCACATTGATTTTTTTTATCATTTCTAATGGCTTTTTGGTGAATAGTTTGAATTCTTTTCCTATTTTATTTTTCTACTTAGATGCCTTTTTTCCTTATCTTGCCTAATTGCTGTAGCCAGCACTTCCAGTACTATTTTGAATAGGAGTGGTGAGAGTGGGTACCCTTGTCTTGTTGTAGTTCTCAAGGGGAATACTTCCAGTTTTAATCCATTCAGTGTGATGTTAAATGTGGATTTTTCATAAATGTCTCTTTTTTTTTGAGGTGTGTTGCTTTGATGCCTACTTTATTGGGGGTTTTTATCATAAAGGGATGGCAAATTTTATTGGAAGCTTTTCCTTCATCTATTGAGAGGTTCATATGTTTTTTAAAAAAGTACTGTTTATGTGGTGAATCACATTTATTGATTTGGGTTTGTTGAATCAAACTTGAATCTCAGAAATGAAGCCTACTTGATCATAGTGAATTAACTTTTTGATATGCTGTTGGATTTGGTTTACTGGTATGTTGTTGAGGATTTTGTGTCCATGTTCATCAGGGATATTGGCTGGTAGTTTTATTTTTTATTGTGTCTTTGCCAGTTTTTGGTTTCAGGGTGATGTTGGCTTCTTCGAATGAGTTAGGGAGAATTTCATCCTCCATTTTTTTTGGAATAGTTCCAGTAGAATTGGTATCAACTCTTCTTGTATCTGCTAGAATTAGAATCCATCTGGTCTGGGATCTCTTTGGTTGGTAAGTTTTTTATTACTGATTCAATTCTGGAACTCAATATTGGTCTGTCCAGTACTTCAATTTCTTCCTGATTCTGTCTTTGGAGGTTGCGTGTTTCTAGGAATGTATCCATTTCCTCCAGATTTTCTAGTTTGTGTGCATAGAAGTACCCATTCATATTAGTCTGAGGTTCTTTCGTATTTCTGAGAAATTCATTGAAATATCACCTTTGTAGATTCTGATTGTGCTAATTTGAATCTTTTTTCCTTTTTTCTTTGATAATCTAGCTACCTGTCTATCAATCTTTTTTATCCTTTCAAATAACGTAACTTTTGCATTTAATGATTCTTCATATGGATTCTTGGGTCTTAATTTCATTCATTTCTACTCTCATTTTAGCCATTCCTCTTCTTCTGGTAGTTTTGGGGTTATTTTATTATCGTTTTTCTGGTTACTGTAGGTGCGCTGTTAGATCGTTGATTTGAGACCTTTCCTTTTGAGGTAGGTATTTAGTGCTATACTTTCCTCTTAACATTGCTGTGCTTACATCCCAAAGATGTTGGTAGGTTATGTCTTTGTTTTCATTTATTTGAAAACAAATAAATTTATGTCTTGATTTCATTGTCTACCCAAAAGTCATTCAGAAGCAAGATTTTAAATTTTCATGTAGTTGTGTGTTTTGAGATATGTTCTTGGAATTGATTTACATTTTTATTGCACTGTGGTCTAAGAGTATGATTTGTATGATTCTGATTTTTAAAAATATATTAAGACTTTCTTTATGGCCAATTATGTGGTTGATCTTGGACTTTGTCCCATGTAAAGATAAGAAAAATCTATATTTGGTGGTTGATAGGTAGAGTATCCTGTATATTTTTATTTGATTCAATTGGTCAAGTGTCAAGTTTGGGCCCATAATGTCTTTGTAAGTTTTCTGCTTCAACAATCTGTCTACTGTTGTCAGAGTGGTGTGATGTCCTCACTATTATTATATGGCTGTCTAAATCTTTTCATAGGTCTAGAAGTACTTGTTTATGAATCTGGGTGCTTCATTGTTGGGTGCTTATATATTTGGGATAGTTAACTCATTTTGTTGAATTGTACACTTTATGATTATATAATGCCTTTATTTACCCTTTTATACCATTGCTGGTTGAAAGACTGTTTTATCTCATATGAGAATAGTGACTTTTGCTCATATTTGTTTTCTATTTCTGTTGTAGCTCTTACTTCAACCCTTTTCTCCTTTTCTTTGAACCTATAAGTGTCATCATGTGTGCAATGGGTCTCTTAAAGACAGCCGATAGATGGGTCTTTCTTTCTTTCTTTTTTTTGTCCAACTTGCCTCTCTGTGCCTTTTAATTGGGGAGTTTGCACCATTTACTTTCAAAATTAATATTGATAAGTGAGGTTTAGAAGCTGTTGTGAAGTTGTGAGCTTGTTGACTTCTAGTTTCTATTGTGTGGTTGCTTTATAGGATCTGCAGGATATGTACTCAAGTGTGTTTGTGTGGTAGCAAGTATCATTTTTTCGTTTCAACATTGAGAACTCCCTTAAGGATCTTTTGTAAGGATCTTTTGTATTGTTAATGAATTCCCTTAGTGCTTGCTTCTCTGGAAAAGATTTTATTTTTCTTTCACTTACAAAGCTTAGTTTGAGGGATATAAAATTCTTAGTTGGAATTTATTTTATTCAGAATCCTGAAAATAGGCCACCAATCTCTCCTGGCTTGGATGGTTTCTCCTGAGAAGTCCACTAAGTCCACTGTTAGCCTTATGAAGTTCCTCCCATGCCCCGATTTTTTTTTTTTTTTTTTTTTTTTTTGAGATAGAGTCTCACTCTGTCACCCAGGCTGGAGTGCAGTGTTGTGATCTCAGCTCACTTCAACCTCTGCCTCCTGGGTACAAGCAATTCTCATGCCTCAGCCTCCCAAATATCTGGGACTACCAGCGCATTCCACCATTCCCAGCTTATTTTTTGCATTTTTAGTAAAGCCGGGTTTTCACCATGTTGGCCAGGCTAGTTTCGAACTCCTGACCTCAGGTGATCTGCCGGCCTCGGCCTCCCAAAGTGCTGGGATTACAGATGTGAGCCACTGCACCCAGCCCTATGAGGTTCCCTTAGTATGTGATTTATCCTTTATCACTAGCTGCCTTTAAGAGTTTTTCTTTAGTATTGACAATGGACCGTTTGGAGACTATATGCCTTGGTGATGTTCATTTTGTCTAATATCTCACTGATAGTCTCTAGATTTCTTACATTTGGATGTCTACCTATCTAGCAAAATTAGGAGAGTTTTCTTGAATTATTTCCTCAAATATATTTTCCAGGTTGATTACTTTTTATCTCCAAAATATCTATACTTCACAGGTTTGATCACTTTACATAATCCTATGTTTTTTGATAAGTTTATTCATTTAAAAAGTTCTTTTTTGGAAAGTTTTGTCTGACTAGGTTGGTTCAAAAGATCGATCTTCAAGCTCTGAATTTCTTCTGTTGCTTGGTCCAGTCTCTTGATAAAGCTTTCAATTGTATTTTGAAATTTCTTAAGTTAGTTTTTCAATTCCAGAAGCGCTAATAGATTTCTTTTCAAGATGTTTATTTCTTCCTCCATTTCCTGGATAGCATTAGAAGTTTCTTTGTGTTGATTATCAACCTTGTCTTGGATCTCACTGATTTTCCTTGCATTTCAGGCTTTTAATCATTTATCTGTCACTACTGAGTTTCCATTTTTGCTAGGGACCATTGCTGGAGAGGTAGTACAATCCTTTGTGGTGTTACTACATTCTAATTTTTCATGGTGACAGAATTCTTGCACTGGTTCCTTCTCATCTGGAGACACTGGCACTGCTAATTTTAAAATTTGTATGTGGGTAGGTGATATGGCTTGGCTGTGTCCCCACCCAAATCTCATCTTGAATTGTAATGTCCATAATTCCCACATGTTGAGGGAGAAACCCAGTGGGAGGTGATTGAATTATGGCGGTGGGTCTCTCCTGCACTGTTTTCATGATAGTGAATGAGTCTCATGAGATCCGATGGTTTCAAAGAGGGGACTCTCCCTGCACAAGTTATCTTCTCTTTTCTGCCACCATGTGAGATGTGCCTTTCACCTTCTGCCATGATAGTGAGCCTTCCCCAGCCACGTGGAACTGTAAGTCCAATAAACCTCTTTCTTTTGTAAATTGCCCAGTCTTGAGTATGCCTTTATCGGCAGTATGAAAAAAGATTGAAACAGTATATATTTTTTTCTTTCTTTCCCTGTAAAATTATGTTTCTTTCTCTCCCCACCCCAATATTATGTTTTTCCCTTTCCCCTTACCCCTTCCCTAGGGAGTGTGAATGTAGAGATGCTGGGTAGAATTTTTGGCTTGCTTCTATAGCCCTATGAACTTTTTCAGAAAGTTTTACATTGGGCTGTGCAGTTTTACCTACATGCCCTTAGATGGTTCTTATAAGTAAGAGCTGGCCAATGTGATAGGGTATATACATAATCCTTGTTTACAGCAGAATCTCTCTGTCGCCTCAGGCAATGGATTGATTCATGGAATACACAGTGCTCTGAGATCCCTGCTCAGTGCAGAGGGGTAGGAGCCACAAAGGGCAAAGCCAGATCATGCAGGTCCACCTATAAGGCCCCCAGTGGCATGCATCAGCACCAACCAGCGCTGAAGAAGAATCCATTTGGTGGCCACCAAGCACCAAAGGCATGCTAGGCATGGAGCTGGGAAACCTCTTCCATTCCAAGTTCTCTGCATGGGGATGAGGGTGGCCTAAACCTCTAATCCAGGAGAGTGGATGCTCCAGATCCCTGGATATCTGCCTGGTCCTGGAGCAGAGAGGGATCACTGCACACCAAGTTTTCTGCACAGGATGAGTAGGGTGACCCAGGCTACAGATCCAGATCAGCTGACATTCCAAATGCCTGGAGATCTGCCTGGGCATGAACATAAAGAGCACCCTTACACCATGATCTAAGTCCAGGAATGGTGGGGCAGTACAGGCTGCTGGTCTAGGCAAGTGGATGTTCTTAATGCCTGTATTTCTGCCTGTGGTTGGAGCAGAGAGGCCCCTGCTACACCATGATCTCAGGAGAGCAGGGTGGGACACCAAACAATGGCACACAGAGATCAGTTTCATGTTACTAAGCTGTCCCTGGCTGCAAGTCATACCACCTGGGAGAAAATGCAGCTGGCGCAGGTCTCCTCCTGCCCCAGGCTTGCCATGAGGGACAGCACAATTCCAGCCCTACTGCTGGGGCACTTTCAACAGTTCTGGCTGTGGAGGCCCCTACTGGGCTCCAGAGCAGGTGTTACAGTCCCTGTCCTGAGACTAAAATGCCTGTTCAGCCACACTGTCAGTCCACCAAGGAATGACTGACTTTATATGTACCCAGATTTAAAACGGTGTCATGCTCTCAGGTCTGCGTGTAGGAAAATGTCTTCAGCTTTTCCTGGTCTCTTTCTCTAATAGCATCTTCATTCTTTCCCAAAGTTAGCTTCAGGTGTGGGAAGAAACAAAACACTCTGCCTTGGCCTGTGCTGTATGGATCCCCAGTGGAAAGGTAAGTCTCTCTCTCATGTACTGGGGGCTTCAGTCCCTTTTATCAGCCAGATACCATCATGGGGGCTGTTTGCTGGCATTTTTCTCTCTGATTTCTGGGATGTCCTTTATGATACTGGTGGATTCCCATTTTTCTTCTTTAATTAAAGCTCAGAGTTGATCTTGATGTACTATCTTGTTGTTTCCAAGTGGCTGAGGCATGCTGAAAGGCGTGCTGAAAGCCTCTAACCCTGCATCATCACATTCCTTAACACAGGAAGACTTTTCTCAGACTTTTAGTAATGCTTCGTGTACCAAAACCCACAATTAAATTTCCTTAAGCATTAGTAAGATGAAATAAAGTGCCATTTACTGTAATTTTATTTTTAATTACACATAATGCTTTATTATTTTGATCCATTTTCAATGTTATAGTGAATATTTCAAATTACTGTGCTGTTCTTCTAAATTAAATATGGTTTATATCATTCTTCATAGAACAAAAAACCTCCAGTATCTTAAAAAACTAGTATTTGTCTGAATATCAAACATACTTCATTCAACACAGGCTTTTTTGTTTATAGAGGTCAATACACAAATATAACTTTTCAGACTCAGAAATTGTATTTCACTTGGTGTTCTGCCACTGTTTTGTAATGAATGTATTGTGTATTTTCTTGACTTTTTATGTGTACTTTAATACCTATTTAAGCCTTTCTGTCTTCAATATACAGTTTTTTGAGAACTCAGCATAAGTAAAAAATTGATTTATTAGGAACTTGATATTTTATATTCAAAATAATTTGTGACTAAGCATGTTATCATCTTCATCTCTCATACATAAACCATATCTTAATGAATAATATAACACATGGTATTTCTCTTCACTTTATGAGATCAAATGTTATGGCATATGTATATACTTATGAAACCCTCACCAAAATCAAAATAATAAAATATCAATTCCAAAGGCTTCTTCCTGCTCTTCTCTGCTGCAATTGTCCCTCTCTCTAGGTAACCGCCAATCTGCTTTGTGCCATTATACATTAGCATGTATTTTGTTTAATTTTATATAAATGGAATCATACAGAATATTAATTGCTAAACAGTATTGCATTGTATACCATAGTTTGATTATTTGTTGATAGACATTTGGGTTTTTCTCAGTTGTGTGCTATGACAAATAATGTTGCTATGATTATTTGTGCAATTATCTGCAAGTTATGCTTTCATTTTCCTTGGGTAACTACCTAAGAGTGGAATAGCTGTGATATATGGTATGTGCATGTTTAACTTAAGAATACGTCAAACCATTTTCCAAAGTGGTTGTACCATTTTATTTTCAATTTCCACCAAAAGTTTATGAGAGTTTAAATTCCTACGCAAATTTATCAATATTGTTAGGTTCAGTATTTTTAATTTTAATCATTCTAACAAGTGTGAAGTGGTATTTCATTAGTTTTCATGTTGACACATGTTTTTATGTGCTTATTCGCCATCTATATATTTTCTTTGGTAATTATCTCTTCAAATATTTTGTTAATTTATGTTTGGTTATTCATTTTCTCATTGTTGAGTTTTGAGAGCTCTTTATACATTTGCAAATATTTTCCTCAGATCTGTGCTTTTGTTTACATTAACACCAGCTGATTTAAATTTTGATGCTGTATCTTTTCGAATCGTGATTTTTGGTGTCATGTCTAAGAAATCATGGCCTAATCAAAAGTGCAAACATTTTCTCCAGAGTTGCCTTATAGAAGCTTTGCGGTTTTGGTTTCACATTCATTTATTAGACTTGAGTTCAATTTTTTTATGGTGTTAGTCTAAGCAGAGATCATAGTGAATTTTATTGCATATGGATATCTGAAAGTTCTAACTGTTTGATACAAATATTATCAATTTTCCGCTGATCCTTAAGTATTTGTCAAAAATAAGTTCTTCATATATGTATTGTCTGTTTCTGAAATCTATGCTCTATTTCATTATATATTTCTGTATGTTTAGCAACACACTGTCTTAAATACTTCAACGTTATGATGTTTTAAATGAGGAAGTATTAGTTCCTCTTATTCAAAGCTGTTCAAAGTTTTATTTCCTTTGAATTTGCATATGAATTTTAAAAGCAGCTTGTCAGTTTCTATAAAGAAACTCACTGGGACTTAGAATGGGGTTATGTTGAATCTCTAGACCAATAGGGGATAGTCACCATGTCAATACTCCTGAACATTTCTAACTATTAATGCGGTACACATCTCCATTTATTTAAGTTCTCTTAGCAATATTTAGTAGTTTTCAGTGAAAGAGTATCTTTCACATTTTGTCAGCTGTATTCCTAAAGATTGTATTTCATATATTTTAATACTATTATAAATAGTATTACTTTTAAGCTTCGGTTTTCAAATATTTTCTCTAATATATAGAAATACAATTAATCTGTTTATATTAATCTTGTTTTCTGCAACATTGCAAAGTTCATGTATTAGTTCTCGTAATCTTTGGTCAATTCCGTTTTGATTTTCTGCATAGATGATCATGCCTTCTGTAAACAGAAACAGTTTTTTTTTTCCTAATTGGCTCATCTTTTCTTCCATTTTTTTTTAAACCTAGTTTTACCAACGCAAAGTCCAGAACATTGTTAATAGGGGTACTAGAAACAGACCTTCTTGTCTTGTTTCTGATCTTAGGGAGAGATAATTAAGTCTTTCATTGCTAAATGTCAGTCAAGCTATAGATATTTTGTAGATAGCATGTATTACATTACAAAAAAGATGCTTCTATCCCTCGTTTGCTTAGAGTATATTCATCAGAAATGAATGTTGAATTTTGTCAAATGTTTCTCTGTATCTATTAAAATAATCATTTTTTCTTTTAAAAATGTTTTAATATGGGGATATAGATAGATTTTTTTAACGTTAAGCAAACATTGTATTTATTAGATAAACTCCACTTGGTCATTATGTATTTATTATGATTTTTATATGTTGCTGGAGGGGGTTGACTAACTAAATTTTTGTTTCAAATTTTTGTATATGTATTCATGAGAAATATTAGTCCATGAGGAATATTTATTTTTTTCTAATGCCTTTGCCTAGTTTTGGTATAAATGTGCTGGGAAGCATAACTTTTTCAAGTTTCTGGAAGATTTTTGTAGAAGTATTATTTCCTCCTTAAATATTTGGTAAAATGCGCTGTAAAGACTTTGAGCAGTGTTGCAATCTAAAACCACCACCTCCCAGGCTCAAGCGATTTGAATAGCTGGGACTCAGGCATGAACCACGACACGCAGCTAATTTTTGTATTTTTATTAGAGACGGATTTTCACTATGTTGAACAGGCTGGTCTCAAACTCCTGACCTCAAGTGATCCTCCCACCCCTGCCTCCCAAAGTGCTGGGATTACAGGCATGAACCACTGACAAGGTTTTTAAACACAAATTTCATTTTTAAAGTAGATATAAGACTATTCATATTATCTGTTTGATCATAAATGCATTTTGTTTACATCCTTCAAACCATTTGTCTTTTTATCTGTTTTTGCATTTATTGGCAAAAATATTACTCACAATATTTCTTATCTATTTAATACTTACAGAATCTCTAGTGATGTAACCCTTCTCATTCCTGAAAAAGGCAATTTGTGTATTCCTTCCTTTTTAATTGATGAGTATGGCTGCAGGCCAATCAATATTATTGATCTTCTAAAAGAGCTTGCTTTTATTTCATTGATTTAAAAAATCATTTTCTGTTTTCTATTTCACGGATTTCTGCTCTTCTCTTTATTGTTACGTTGTTTTCTGCTTTCCTTGGACTCAATTTGCCTGCCTGACTGCCTTTTTCTAGTTTCCTAATTTGGAAGCTGGCATTATTAATTAGAGATCTTTACTTCTTTTTGTGTATGTTTATGTGTACAATATGCTACTTTTGTTTTGATATATTCATCTTATTTTTTAATTTTTACTGATAGATAATTGAACATATTTATGAGGTACATGTGATAACTTGATATATCCATACAACATGTAATAATCAGATCAAAAATTTATTATTTCTTTGTGTTGGGAACATTCCAAATCTTCTAGTTACTATAAAATATACAATAAACTATTGTTAACTATATTCACCCCATTGTGCAATTGAACACTAAAAATTATTCCTTTTATCTTACTGTACTTTTGTATGCATTAACCAACCTTTTTTCATTTCCCTTTCCTCCATACCCTTCCCAACTTCTGGAAACCACCGTTCTACTCTCTGCTTTCATGAGATAAACTTCTTTAGCTCTCACATATAAGTGAGGACATGCACATTTATCTTTTTGTGCCTGGCTTATTTCACTTAATATAATGAATATAGGCACCAGAGCTTTTCATTTTCCCTAGATACTGTTTTAACAAATTATATGTTTTCATTTCCATTCAGTTTAAACTACAGTTAATTTTTCATTTGAATTCTTCTTTGGCTTATTAATAAAAGTGCACTATTTGTTTCCAAGTATTTAGAGATTTTTCAGCTTTCTGTTATTGATGTTTAATTTAATTATATTGTAATCAGGAAACATACTTTATCTGACTTGAATAGTTTTAAATTTATTTAAATCTATTTTATGGATCACGGGATGGTCTATCTTGGTAAATAGCACTCACATACTTTAAAGAGTGTATATTCTACTCTTTTGGGATGGCGTATTTACAAATGTCTGTTATGTCAATTTGGCTGATAGGGCAGTTTCCAGCCTCTATATTTGTTTTTACTGAATTCCTGAAAATGATTTGAGAATTGTCTCTTTAATACAGGTGTTTCTTGTTCTAAGTCACTCTCAAGTACTATTTAGTTGCTTCTCACAAATTTTGATATATTGTGTTTCCATTTTCATTCAGATCAAAAACATTCTTTTGACTTCTTCCTCCCACTTGGTTGTTTAAAAGTGTGTGTTATTCACTATTCACTTGATGAAGTATTTTGAGATATGTTTTGGTTATTGATTTATAAATTAACTCCACTAGTCTCAGAAATAATATCTTGTATTATATGAAACTTATTAAATACATTGAAACATACTTTATGACTCAGAATATGGACTATCTTGATAAATATTCAGTAAGCCCTTTGAAAAATGTGTGTTCTGCTGTTGTTGAGTAAAGTGTTTTATCCATCTCAATTCTTAGGTCACAATGGCTGATGTTGCCGTTCAACTGTACTATAATCTTGCAGATTTGGGGGAATATTTATTTCTCTAGAAATAACTGAGAGATATATATGTTGCAATCCCTAGGTTTGTTGATTTGCTTATTCTTCTTTTCATTTTTATCACTTTTTGCTTCATACATTTTTAAACTCTGTTACTAGGTATGTAAGAATTTTAGATATGCTGGATGGAAACTAATATTTACCACTTATTCTGTGGCGAATTATCTTTTACAACTGAAGCAAGATCATTCTGAATACTCAGTGCCGCATGAATTTTGAAGTTTGCCAGTGAGGTTGGTGGGAATAGGCTATATTCCTAGCCCTGCTGGAGTCCTCTTGATCAGTTCCTTCCAATCTTTCCAGATGGTTATTTACCCAGCCTCAGGTCATTTTGTCCTGTGCTCATCAGAACTCTGCTGAACATCCTCTGCAGAGCCAGGGCTTCCCTTTGTGCACCTCCCACCTCACTGAAGCTGGCGAATTCAGATTCTTAGGCCTTGCCAATTTAAACAATATTTATTTAATTTTCTTTATTGTTTGTTTATTCTATTTTTTCATAAATTCAGGGGTTATATGGGCATGTTTGTTACATGGACATATTGCATAATAGTGAGTTTTGGGCTTCTAGTTTGCCCATTAATGAAATAATGAATGTTGTACCCAATAGGTAAATTTTTAACAGTCACCTCCATCCTACTCTCCACACTTTTTTGGTGTCTCCAGAGTCTATTATTTGCCTCTGTATGTCCATGTGTACCCATTGGTTAGTTCCCACTGATAGAGGCAGGAGGCAGGCAAATGCCTAGGCAAATAGGGAAAGGCACCCCAGAGAATCTCTGACCCACTCCACAGGCATGTACACCAGATGTTTTTGTGCAGATAAGGAAGCCTGCACAGGGTCTTCCCTGGGCATGCCTGCAATAGACTGGAGGCCCACATGCACTGGGAGAATCAGGTGGAGCCACCGGGAATTTGTGCCTCATGCAGTGGAGGAGCCTGGCCTCTTCAGCTCATGTGTGGTGGCCTGATATTCAATTTGTGAGGTGAAAACCTGCATGCAGAACCCCTTTTCTTGCTGAGTGCTTTCCTTTCACTTAATAAATTCCACCCTCCTCACCTTTCAATGTGTATGCATGCCTAATTTTTCCTCGTCATGAGACGAGAACCTGGATTTAGCTGAACAAAGGAACACAAAATAATGCATCACCACTTGTAAGTGAAAACATGTAGTTTTTGATGTTCTGTTTCATAGCTACATCACTGATGATAATGGCCTCTAGCTCTATCCACGTTACTGCAAAAGATGGAATTTCATTCTTTTTTAATGGATGTGTGATATTCCATGGTGTACATATACCACATATTCTTTATCTAGTCATCTATTGATGGGCACTTAGGTTGATTCCATGACATTGCTATTGTGAATAAGTGCTTTGAGAAACATACAAATGCAGATGTCTTTTTTATATAACAATTTATTTCTCTTTGGGTATACACCCAGTAGTGGAATTGCTGGTCAAATGGTAGTTCTATTTTTAGTTCTTTAAGAAATCTCCACACTGTTTTTCATAGAGAGTATACTGATTTACTTTCCCACCAACATTGTATAAGCATTCTCTTTTCTCTCCACCTTTGCTAACATCTGGGTTATTTATTTATTTTGAGTTTTTAGTTACCTGACTGTTGTAAGCAGGTATGTCATTGTGGTTTTAATTTTCTTGCCAGATTCTTAATTCTGTCTCTTTGAATGTGGGAGTCGGCTATTATCTGTCTGTGTTCTAGGCATACCACACCTGGAATTTCTCAGGCACTAGGCTGGAGCACGTGTGGGGCTTATCTCATTTATTTCTAATCTAATAATGCTCTTTGTCTGTTGCTTTACTTAACTTCAGGAAAAGCAACCCCCTAGCCCATTTTCACCACTTTTTAGTGAATGCCCGTTGGCCCGTTGGCTATTTTTGGGTTTTTTGTTTTCTGAAGCCCACCAGATACTTCTTTTTGACTCCTTTTACTACATAGATGTGGATATTATTCACATCTTGTGTGTGTTGACAGTCAGTCACCATCTGTTTGCATTTTGGGAGAGTGAAGATAATTTTTCACCTAGGCTAGGATTTTTCCCAAGAGTTTTTGTTTCGTTTTGTTTTATGTGAATACTCAAAATATTTGGAAAAAATATATTTCTGCTTGCTGTTGTTATCTTTCACTAAATCTCCTCCAATCACTTTTAATTTCTAGCCTTACCTTTCTCTTAGACTTTTTTTACTCTAAAGACCAATCTAAAACAATTGGGAAAACTTATCCTGTTGACTCTCATGTCTTTTTAGATGATTTCTATTATAGTCATGGACTATATCATTTGACTTAAAGCACAAGATTAATTGCCTTTATTTTTTAGTCTGTTGTATCCACCTATTTTCAAAGCAGGGCCTGATTCATGACTAATGTTATGAATTGGTGGGTTAGAGTTTCTCAGAGTATCATTAAAGAAGTTAATAATCCTGGCTAGCACGGTGAAACCCTGTCTCTACTAAAAATACAAAGAATTAGCTGGGCCTGGTGGCGGGCGCCTGTAGTCCCAGCTCCTAGGGAGGCTGAGGCAGGAGAATGCTGTGAACCCGGGAGGCGGAGCTTGCAGTGACCCGAGATCACGCCACTGCCTCCAGCCTGGGCAACAGAGCTAGACTCCATCTCAAAAAAAAAAAAAAAAGAAAAAGAAAAAAAAGAAGTTAATAAATGTAGGATGGAGTGTTGAGAAACAGAAGTTAATAAATGTAGGATGGAGTGTTGAGAAACAGAAGATCCATCTATTATTAGATTCCATATCACCTCACAGCATTAAAGCAATTTGTGTTATCCTCAGCCTTTTCCTGGGTACCTGCCAAACTGTTTTCAGATTTTTTTGTTTTCTTCGTATGCACATTGATCAAAGCTTCTAATCTAATGCTTTCTTAGATGTCTGGAAAGTAACCTAATGCCTAAAAATCTATCACTTTGCAGTCTACCTTATGTCATTTGTCTACAAAAATCTGACTCTAGTTATCGTAACAAGGAATCTGTCCAATTTTAAGACAATGACATGAAATCATGTGTTTCTTGTCCTCAGGTAGATCCTAGTCTATGAGGGAAGGAGTCAAGATATGAAATTATTAAACTGACATGAATGATTTTAATAAAAAATGGAACAACAGTGTTATGAGAACAGAGAAATCTTAAACAAAACTAATTCCACATAATGGAAAGATTTGGGAGAATGGCTTTATCAAAAACATGATAGGGAATTCAGTTTACATATTGTATATATATTATGTGTTAAAACCCAGAGGAAGTGTTGCTAAGTTCTGTCTATGCACTTTTTTAGAGAATACATATACACATCAATTAGTAATAAAATCTAAAAACAAAAAATTTCTTTAGGTCATTTCATAAGTTTATCACAATACAATGTGCTATGTACATAGCATATTTTCATTTTCTCTTGGTTAATCTTCTCTAGTCTCCAGTGGAGTTAATTAACTTGCAGTCATTTTTCATGTAAAATTCTTGAAAATTTGATGACCTTTAAAATATAATAGTGAAATAAAAATGTTTATTCTCTGAAGATTTACTGACAATCTAATGAATATTATTTTATAAATTATGACTAATAATAATTATCTTATTTTCCCCAAAGTATCCACAAAACTAGAACACTAAAACAAAATGTAAAAATATAGAATACACCAAAGCACCTTTATTTTATTTATCTTTTGGATAAAAGGTGGCTAAAATTAAGGGCTTTGATAAGTAATTTTATTTAAAATTAAGTGCTTGATTTAATGTGGTAAAAATAAATTTTGAATAGAAAGTCAAACCATACTGATATACTTTGGCTCTGTGTCACCACCCAAATCTCATGTCAAAGTGTAATTCCCAATGTTGGGGAAGGGACGTGGTAGGACGTGATTAGATCATGGGGACAAATTTTCCCCTTGCTGTTCTCATGATAGTGAGTGAGTTCTCACAAGACCTGGTTGTTTAAAAGTGTGTAGCGCTGGCCGGGCACGGTGGCTCACGCCTATAATCCCAGCATTTTGGGAGGCCGAGGCTGGTGGATCGCGAGGTCAGGAGATCGAGACCATCCTGGCTAACATGGTGAAACCCTGTCTCTACTAAAAATACAAAAAAATTAGCCAGGCGTGGTGGCAGACACCTGTAATCCCAGCTACTCAGGAGGCTGAGGCAGGAGAATGGCGTGAACCTGGGAGGAGGAGCTTGCAGTGAGCGCAGATCGCACCGCTGCACTCCAGCCTGGGCTACAGAGCGAGACTCAGTCTCAAAAAAAAAAAAAAAAAAGTGTATAGCACTTTCCAGCTTTGCTCTCTTCCTCCTGCTCCACCATGTGAAGAACTTGCTTGCTTCCCCTTCACACTTCTACTATGATTGTCAGTTTCCTGAGGCCTTCCCAACCATGCTTCCTGTATAGCCTGAAGAACTGTTGAGCCAATTAAACCTTTTTTCCTAATAAATTACTCAGTCTCAGGTAGTTCTTTATAGCAGTGTGAGAATAGACAAATACAGAAAATTCGTACCAGGGAAGTGGGGCATTGTTCTAAAAATACCTCAAAATGTGGAAGCAACATTGGAACTAGGTAATGGGAAGAAGTTGGAACAGTTGGAAGGGCTCAGAAGAAGACAGGAAGATGAGGGAACGTTTGGAAATTCTTAGAGACTTATTGAATGTTTGTGACCAAAATGCGGATAGTGATAGGCACAGTGAAGTCCAGGCTGAGGTGGTCTCAGATGGAGATGAGAAACCTACTGGGAACTGGAGTAAAGGTCACTCTTGCTATGTTTTAGCAAAGAAGCTGGTGGCATTGTGCCCCTGCTCTAGAGATCTGTTGAACTGCGAACTTGAGAGAGATGATTTAGGATATATGGCAGAAGAAATTTCTAGGCAGCAAAGCATTCAAGATATTGCCTGGTTTCTTCTAAAAGCCTACACTCGCTTGCGGCAGAATAATTAATATGATTTGTCTCTGTGTTCCTACCCAAACCTCAGGATAAATTGTTAATTTTCAATATTGGGGGAGGGACCTGGTGGAGGTGATTGGATCACGGAGGTGGATTTCTCCTTTGCTGTTCTTGTGGTAGTGAGTGAGTTAGTTCTCATGAGACATAGTTGTTTCAAAATGTGTAACACATCCCCCTTCACTCTTTCTCTTGTGCCACGTGAGGATTGTGCCTGCTTCCTATTCACCCTTTTCCCATGATTGTAAGTTTTTGTGAGCCCTCACGACCATGCTTTCTGTACAGCCTGCAGAACTGTGAGTCAGTTAAACCTCTTCATAAATTACTCAGTCTCAGGCAGTTCTTAAGAGCAGTGTGAGAACAGACAAATACACAAACCAAAGGAACAAACAAATACACACATGAGGTAAAATAATGTGGCCTCATTTAGGATTCCTGTATTCATTCCACAAATATTTACTGAGCTTCTTCTGTTTGAGAACCACTGTATACAAGAGATATGTTTCTTGCTATAATTAAACATATACCTAAACCTGGAAATATAACAGATGGCTTAAGTAATAATAAATATATATGGAAAAACTATGAAGTGGTATGAGAAAATTTATGGGTGTATTCTAATCTTGAATGGGAGAACAGTGTTGGCTCTTCTGGGAAAAACACGTTTCAGCAGAGCAGTTAGGTGGAGAAGAAAAGAGAAGACACTCTTGTCAATTGAACTACATATCTTAAAGCCCTAGACAGTGAGAAAAAAAAGGAGATTAAAGGAAGAGAGAAAACCAGCATGAATGAATCATGTTAAGAAGTGCAGAGACCTCTACTGTATTAGAGATATTAAGAAGAGGCCAAAAGTAATACTTTGAGCTTTATCCTAAGAAAAATGTGAAGCCTTCAGTGACTTTTAAGAATGATCGCATTTACATTTTAAGAATAGATCAGTGAAACTCCTGCCCTTTGTGAGGCTCTCAGTAAAGCCTTATCAGACAGACTTTCTTATAGATTATAAATAAAATTTGTGAACATAATATAAAATGTAGCTCCCTGAAGGTACCATATAGTAAATATACAGATCCTAGTGGGAAGTAGGTACTCCAAGGAGATAAGCTGTATATGGTGATTTGCAGCTTTTGTTGATTTTATCTCAAGAGCTATTCATAAGATGATTGTGATTATGGAATAAGGTAACATAGGTAAAACTGTCTGGCATAAGATGTTCAATAACTATTACTTATTAAAGTTATTAAGATAAAGTTTCCTTATCCAAACCAAATACTTTAGTTTTTATAAGAGTTGAAACTTCAAGGCTCCTCTGTACATTCACCCTAGATTATTAATTTTGGTAATTAATTATAACGTTACAAATTATATTGTGATAGATAAGTATTATAATATCTATCCATGTATATCACTGCTAGATTTCCCAATACCTCTAAATTTATTCCAATATTTTGGAGATGAAACATTAAGCCTCAGAAAAGTAACTTGTTCAGTGTGACTTAGTGAGGGATACACAGAAGAAATATGGTTTGAACCCACATTTTTATACCCCAAATCCAATGTTTCAATATTAGACTAATTGAGGAAAAATATCAAGTTTCTAAATGCATTGCATTCTAACAGATTTGTTCATATGATTAATGTGCTCTTCAGCAAACAATTCAATATCGTTTTCCTCATGACTTGTGGCATTGATAAAACAAGGAGGCAAACACAAAAACACAAAAATGCTAAAACCCACCAAGGTGAGTTATATGAACAAATCATTTTCTAAAACACTCAAGTTATGGCATGGGAAAGATTCTTGAAGATTAAGTTATATCAAGATCCTCGAGTGAGAATAAGTAACACTGAAGTCTTAGAAATTAACTTCAGCTACCCCTAGGGAAGAGATTGCATGACACACAGTGTGATTTTTATTCTGTGATTTTAACTAATTTAGGATTGATCTGATTTCCATCCTGCTGTTCCTTTCTAAAATATATCAGAATTAGTATGTCAATGAGCTTTGTATTTTAGCAAGTGTTGAATTTGCGATGTACACTTATGTTTAGTTGTATCAGAGACTAATAACCCTTTGTTAAAACTATATTCAGAAAATACACAGATGTCTATGAACAGTGCCTTCTATCTTGGTTCCAGGATAGGCCTGGTTAATCTAATGAACACAATAAATATCCTTAATACAATTAAATAAAAACCAAAATTGTAAACAAATTTAGACCTACATAATATAACTCACTCTTAAAGTGTTGATGCGCCTTAGACAAGAATTCAAAGTATAACTATTTCATTTGTAAATGTATGCAGTTTTGAATAATGCTAGATGATTATTTACTGAATAATTACTCAGAGAACATTACTATTCAAAAATTAATTATGCCATCATTTCCTTGCAAAAATAGACACATGCATGTTCAAAGCCCCAGGAGCTGAGAGCAAAAGATGAGCATTAGGCAGGAACATCAGCCCACATAAAGTGTATTTCTCACGTATACTGGCAAGTGAAGGATAAATGAGAGGAACCCGAGGAAATAACTCAATATAACATCTGCCTGATCGACGTCTTCAAAGTAATGAATCATCTCTCATGGGAAATTTACAGAACCCATTTTTATGTGCATTTGGCATTACACTAACTCATCGGTTTTTAAGCTCCAATTTGGGTCTTGCTATATTTTTTTAGAACACATATTTATACTAAAGGTAAAGAATTTTATGACCTTGTTATTTATAAGATTTTGTAACTATTGAGGAATTTGACACGATCTCGTGTTGTTAAATCTTCAAATAATTAGCACCTTTTCTGACTATAAAACTAGACATTTTTATCAAATTATAGACTTAGGTAGTTTGGTTTCAGGATTAGCATGAGTTATCTTTTAACTAATTCCAAAATGATGTCTCTTAATTACTTGGATTGGAATTTAACCTAGTTAAACTTTCATATTTGCAAGGAGTGTGAAAAATTGTTATTCAATTAAAAGAAACAGAGAAACATTCATTTGGACTATCTTTACATAAATATTTAGCTAAAAAATGATCTTAGATTCAAAGGAATGCATGTGAATTAATATATTGAATAGATTTATACATATTACAGGAGTAAAGGAAAGCCTCAAAATAAGTATGTGTTTTGAAATGCACAGTTTTAAATAAATAAGATTGTAAGATTGTCTTTTTTTGTAGAATAAGGCTTTTATTTCTGTGGAGATTAAGCAAATTCATTATAAGAAGTAAGCTAGCAAACCGTGAGGTGAAGATAAATATTCATTGAAATATCTCCCCTACTGCCCAGGTACATTGTGTTAAGAAAGTGTATGTTGCTGAGGGAGCAGTAAGTCAAATCCAAGAGACTTAAGGAAGGTATATTTGTGCAACTTTGGTGAAAACTAAGTGGTGGATGGAGAGCTGGGGACAGCAAAGGAAAAAAGAGAGATTTAACATTTGACAAAACAGAAATCATTAACTCAAAATTTTTTAATTTGTTAATTAAAATAGATGGATAAAGTAGTCATTTGGTCAACATTTTTAGTCTAAAGAAATAAGCCAGCCAGGCATGGTGGCTCACGCCTGTAATCCCAGCACTTTGGGAGGCCGAGGTGGGTGGATCATTTGAGGCCAGGAGTTTGAGACGAGCCTGACCAACATGATGAAACCCCGCCTTTACTAAAAATGCAAAAATTAGCTAGACAGTAGTAGCGCACGCCTGTAATCCCGGCTACTCACAAGGCTGAGGCAAGAGAATCGCTTGATCCTGGGAGGTGGAGGTTGCAGTAAGCCGAGATCATGCACAACATGAGAAATAGAAAGGAAATGAAAAAGGAAAATAAAAAATCAAGATAAATATGCAGATAGAAAAAAAGGAAAAAGAAAGAACCCCTCGTTTATAAAAAGTCCTAGTGGTGACCAACCACACATGGGAAAATTCAGCAAAGTGAAAAATGCAACAAGCAATAAGTGGAATTTTTTAAAAGGCAGCAATAAAGGGGAGTATAAGAGAGAATGGGGACAAAAGTAAAGATAGCATAGTTGTATTGTTTATTTTCTTATTTTGTAAGGAAGCCAAACAGGAAGTATAAGACAGAAGGGAGAGAAAAAGTAAAGATAGCATTGTTCTGTTGTTTATTTTCTTATTTTGTCACCTTTCATTCATCAATCTGCTTTAGTCCCTGTATCACTATATATAACTACACACTTTGTAAATAAAGGCTTTCCACATAGCTTAGACATTAGGGTTATAATTACATTACATTGCAGTTTTATACTCTCTACTTCATATTCATTGTCCTCTCTCTCCACTCTTTCATCCATCTTTAATAACTTGATCTCATTAAATCCAAAGGATCTAAAGTGCTTATTAATTTTCATAGATTATAAAGCTAAGATTAACTGTTGTAAAAAGGCTTACTCAAATCTCCACAGGCAGTTGCTATGCTGAAATTCAAATTGAGGGCAATGCTAATCCAAAGGTAGTGACACTGGACTTAGTGTAAAAGGATGCAGTGACATCACCTAGACCAAAAAGAGTGTAGCAGGATGTTTACTCACTCAACAAACAATTACTAATGCCTAATATTGGCAAAATGTATTTTATACAGATAATGCAAGAATTTATAGAATTGATTTCCCACACAATCGCAGCCTAGTGATGCCAACAGGCAAAAAACATAAAGAAATCTAGAAAACATTTTATTGATGCTATGGTCTGGGTATGGAGGGGGTACTATAGGTGTACATTACAGGGAAATGTAAGCAGAATTTATGGAAGTGTATTGGGGTATAGTGTGTAGACAAAGAAGTCAAACTGCAGAATGTAAAACTAGTATTTTAAATGAAGGAAAAGTAGAAGCTAGGCAACTAAAGAACAGGTTAAACAGAAAAATCATATATTCTAGAGGAAATTAATAACCAGATAAATGAACTGATTTCTATGTAGGTCAAATTTGTATTAGTGAAGAGGGACAGTTGTGAGTGAGGGTCTCTGTGAGGACATCATACTGAAGAGGTTAGTAATGTGGTATTCTTATGTTATAAAGTACTTATATCATTCTAACAGTAATTAACATTAAAGAATATCATTTTAGTAATGAATATTTAGTTATAAGAAAACAAATATTAAAAGAATGAAATTGAGACCTTATCTTACATTATACACAAAAATTAACTCAAAATGGATTAAAAACTGAAATGCATGAGCTTATGCTGTAAATCTCCTAGAAGAAAACATAAGGGAAAGCTTTATGTTGGTCTTCTCAATGATTTATTAGATATGACAGTAAAAGCAAAGGCAACAAAAATAAAAATAAACAAATGGGACTATACATATCAAATTAAAAACCTTCTGTGTATAAAAAGAAAGAATCAACCAAATAAAGAGACAACCTACAGAATAGGAGAAAATATTTGAAAATCATACATTTGATAAAAGGTTAATATCCAAAGTACAGAAGGAACTCAAAGAACTAGAAAGGAAAAGAAAACAAAACTGAAAATAAACATAAAAAACCTCACAGCCCACAAATAGGTCAATTAAAAATGAGCAAAGGACTTGAATAGGCATTTCTCCAAAGATACATACAAATGGCCCATAGGTCTATGAAAAAGTGCTCAATCATCAGAGAAATGCAAATGAAAACCCCAATGAGAACTTATTGAACACCTGTTTATAATGGTCATTATATATATATAAATAACAGCAAGGGTTGTAAGGGAGAAATTGGAACCCTTGGGCACTGTTGATGGAAATGTAAGGTGATGCAGCCACTATGGAAGACAGTGGAAATGGTCCTTAAAAAGTTAAATAGAACTACTGTATGATCCAAATGTGTCCAAATGCATCATACTGTAGTTCAAACCACTTCTGAGTATTTACACAAAATAATTGAAATCACTATATTGAAGAGATACATACATGCATTCTTACATTTGTTGCAGCACTACTCACAATAGTGGAGATTTAGAAACAATCTAAATGTGCATTGGCAAATGAATGATAATTTGGTATGTATATAAACTGGAACATTCAGCCTTAATAAAGAAGGAAATTTTGTCATATGCTAAAGCATAGATGAAACTTGAGGGCATTATGCTGAGGAAAATAAGCCAGTCAAAAAGGGGAAAATATTGAACATTCTATTTATATGAGGTATCTAAAAAATAGTTAAGCTCATAGAAACAGAACATATAATGGTGGTTACCAGAGACTGCGGGAGGGGGAGGGGGAATTTACAACTCAGTAGGTATACAATTTTACCATGTGAGACGAAAAAGTTCTAAAGTTCTAGAGATTCACTGTTGTATTAGTCTGTTTTCACACTGCTGATAAAGACATACCCAAAACTGGTCAATTTACAAAAGAGATTCATTGGACTCACAGTTCCATGTGCCTGGGAGGACACACAATCATGGAGGAAGGTGAAAGCCACATCTCACATGGCAGCAGACAAAAGAAGAGAGAGCTTGCGCAGGGAAACTCCCATTTCTAAAACCATCAGATCTCGTGAGACTTATTCACTATCAGGAGAACAGCACAAGAAAGACCCACCACCCTCATGATTCTATTATCTCCCACCACGTCCCTCCCATAAAACTTGGATATTATGGGAGTTACAAGATGAGATTTGAGTGAGGACACAGAGACAAATAATATCATTCCACCCCTGGATCCTCCCAAAATCTCATGTATTCACATTTCAAAACACAATCATGCCTTCCCAACAGTCCCCCAAAGTCTTAACTCATTTCAGCATTAACTCAAAAGTCCCCAGGCCCATGTCTTATCTGAGACAAGGCAAGTACCTTTTGCCTCTGCGCCTGTAAAATAAAAAGTAAGTTAGTTATTTCCTAGATACAATGGGGTACAAGAATTAGGTAAATACAGCCGTTCTGAATGGGAGAAATTGGCCAAACAAAGGGGCTACAGGCCCCATGCAAGTCTGAAATCCAGCAGGGGAGTCAAATCTTGAAGTTCCAAAATGATCTCCTTTGACTCCATGTTGCACATTCAGGTCATGCTGATGCAAAAGCTGGGTTTCCATGTCTTGAGCAGCTCCACCACTGTGGCTTTGCAGGGTACAGCCTCCCTTCCAGCTGCTTTGACTGGCTGGTGTTAAGAATCTGTGGCTTTTTCAGGCTCATGGTGCAAGCTGTCAGTGGATCTATCATTTTGGGATCTGGAGGACTGTGGCCCTCTTCTCACAGCTCCACTAGGTGGTGCCCCAGTAGGGACTCTGTGTGAGGGCTCCTACCCCACATTTCCCTTCCACACTGACCTAGCAGAAGCTCTTCATTAGGACTCCATCCCTGCAGCAAACTTCTACCTGGGCATCCAGGAGTTTCCATACATCTTCCGAAATCTAGGTGCAGGTTACCAAACCTCCATTCCTGACTCCTGTGCACTTGCAGGCTCCACACCACATGGAAGCTGCCAAAGCTTGAGGTTTGCACCCTCTGAAGCCATAGCCTGAGTTCTACATTGGTACCTGTCAGCCAGAGCTGGAGCAGCTGAGACACAGGGCACCAAGTCCCTAGGAGTCACACAGCACTGGGACCCTGGGCCCTGGACCAGGAAACCATTTTTTCCTCCTAAGTCTCTGGCCTGTGATGAGAGGGGCTGCTGCAAAGGTCTCTTGCATGCCTTGGAGACATTTTACCCATTGTCTTGGTGATTAACATATGGATCCTTATTACTTAGCATATTTCTGTATCTTGCTTGAATTTCTCCACAGAAAATGGGATTTTCTTTTCTACTGCATTGTCAGGCTGCAAATTTTCCAAACTGCTATGCTCTGTTTTCCTTTTAAAACTGAATGCCTTTATTAGCACCCAAGTCACCTCTTGAACGCTTTACTGCTTAGAAAGTTCTTCCGCCAGGTACCCTAAATCATCTCTCTGAAGTTCAAAGTACTACAAATCTCTAGGGCAGAGGCAAAATGCTGCCTATCTCATTGCTAAAACATAACAAGAGTCACCTTTGCTGTAGTTCCCAACAAGTTCTTCATCTCCATCTGAGACCACCTCAGCCTGGGTTTCATTGTCCATATCACTATCAACATTTTGATCAAAGCCTTTCAACAAGTCTCCAGGGAGTTCCACACTTTCCCACATTATTCTGTCTTCTTCTGAGCCCTCAAGCCTGTTACAACTCCTGCCTGTTACCCAGTTCCAAAGTTGTTTCCACAATTTCAGGAATATTTTCAGCAGTGCCCACTCTACTGGTACCAATTTACTGTATTTGTTCATTTTCACACTGCTGATAAAGACATATCCATACTGGGCAATTTATAAAAGAATGAGGTTTATTGGACTCATAGTTCCATGTGTTTGGGGAGGCCTCACAATCATTGTGGAATATGAAAGGCATGTCTCACATGGTGACAGACAAGAGAGGAGACAGCTTGTGCAGGGAAACTCCTGTTTTTAAAATCATCAGATCTCATGAGACTTATTCACTATCATGAGAACAGCATGGGAAAGACCCGCCCCATTATTCAATTATCTCCCACCAGTGCCCTCTCACAACACGTGGAAATTATGGGAGTTATGAGATTTAGGTGGGGACACAGAGCCAAACCATATCAACTGTATAGCAATGTAGATATAATTAACAATACTGTACTGTATGCTTAAAAAGTTGTTGAGTGCATATTTCATGTTATATATTACTTAGCACAATAAATACATTTAAAAAATTAAATATAAGACTATCTGCACAGTTGGAGAGCTCTGCTCTGATGCACAAGACTCTTACTTTTCATGAAATTATAGTTAGTCACATAAACTCCAACATCCATTGTGTTTCACCCCCCAATTAGAAATGCCTATTTTTCTTATCACTGTAACTCTCTAATATATTCATATGGCTAAGTAGTTATGTAAGTCTTTTGTACCTGAAGAGCGGGGCCACATTGCCAAAAAAAACCCAGAATATTTTAAGAGGAGAACATAGCTCTTAAGCTTTGAAACTTGTGGCAAGAGCCTGGCTGTTGAGGGTTTACACTGTGAGACATTGTAAGTTGGCTTCAATATATAACATACTAATAATGTGGACATCTCAATGCCCCAAAGTTAAAAAAAAGCTATTCAACTCATATTCTTTCACTGTCTCTAACAGTGTTGGCATCCATCAGCAGGGAATTTAAAAATGTATAAGGAATTGGGAACATTTTTCATATCTTGTATTGGCTAAAGTGGACAATGGACTCATCTGTGAAAAGAGATTTCAACTTTTCACAAAAAATGAAAAAAAAGAGTTAAAGCCAGACCAACCAGGAGTTGAAACAGGAACTAAAAAACCAGTTACAATTTTCTGCTTTCTTAACAACACTGTTATGTTTCCATCCCTCTCTGATTACTTCACTGTTCTCACTGCCTGAAGATTGGATGTCTGCACTAGATTAAAAAGGGAGAGACTATTTGGAAATAACCATTGTATTAATGTCATTTAAAATGGTGTATGGCCTCTTCCAAGACTAAACCAGGAAGAAGTTGAATCCCTGAATAGACCAATAACAGGCTCTGAAATTGAGGCAATAATTAATAGCCTACCAACCAGAAAAAAGTCCAGGACAAGACGGATTCACAGCTGAATTCTACCAGACACACAAGGAGGAGCTCGTACCATTCTTCTGAAACTTTTCCAATCAATAGAAAAAGAGGGAATCCTCCCTAACTCATTTAATGAGGCCAGCATCATCCTGATACCAAAGCCTGGCAGAAACACAACAAAAGAAGAGAATTTTAGATCAATAACCCTGATGAACTTCGATGCAAAAATCCTCAATAAAATACTGGCAAACCGAATCCAGCAGCACATCAAAAAGCTTATCCACCATGATCAAGTGGGCTTCATCCCTGGGATGCAAGGCTAGTTCAACATACGAAAATCAATAAACGTAATCCAGCATATAAACAGAACCAAAGACAAAAACCACATGATTGTCTCAATAGATGCAGAAAAGGCCTTCAACAAAATTCAACACTTCATGCTAAAAACTCTCGATAAATCAGGTGTTGATAGGATATATCTCAAAATAATAAGTGCTATTTATGACAAACCCACAGCCAATATCATATTGAATGGGCAAAAACTGGAAGCATTCCCTTTGAAAACTGGCACAAGACAGGGATGCCCTCTCTCACCACTCCTATTCAACATAGTGTTGGAAGATCTGGCCAGGGCAATCAGGCAGGAGAAAGAAAGAAAGAGTATTCAATTAGGAAAAGAGGAATTCAAATGGTCCCTGTTTGCGGATGACATGATTGTATATTTAGAAAACCCCATTGTCTCAGCCCAAAATCTCCTCAAGCTGATCAGCAACTTCAGCAAAGTCACAGGATACAAAATCGATGTGCAAAAATCACAAGCATTCTTATACACCAATAACAGACAAACACAGAGCCAAATCATGAGTGAACTCCCATTCACAATTGCTTCAAAGAGAATAAAATACCTAGGAATCAACTTACAAGGGATGTGAAGGACCTCTTCAAGGAGAACTACAAAACACTGCTCAACGAAATAAAAGAGGATACAAACAAATGGAATAACATTCCATGCTCATAGATAGGAAGAATCAATATCATGAAAATGGCCATACTGCCCAAGGTAATTTATAGATTCAATGTCATCCCCATCAAGCTACCAATTACTTTCTTCACAGAATTGGAAAAAAACTACTTTAAAGTTCATATGGAACCAACAAAGAGCCTGCATTGCCAAGACAATCCTAAGCCAAAAGAACAAAGCTGGAGGCATCATGCTACCTGACTTCAAACTATACTACAAGGCTACAGTAACCAGAAACAGCATGGTACTGGTACCAAAACAGAGATATAGACCAATGGAACAGAACAGAGCCCTCAGAAATAATACCACCCATCTACAACCATCTGATCTTTGACAAACCTGACAAAAACAAGAAATGGGGAAAGGATTCCCTATTTAACAAATTGTGCTGGGAAAACTGGCTAGCCATATGTAGAAAGCTGAAACTGGATCCCTTCCTTACACCTTATACAAAAATTAATTCAAGATGGATTAAAGACTTAAATGTTAGACCTAAAACCATAAAAACCCTAGAAGAAAACCCAGGCAATACCATTCAGGACATAGGCATGGGCAAGGACTTCATGTCTAAAACACCAAAAGCAATGGCAACAAAAGCCAAAATTGACAAATGGGATCTAATTAAACTAAAGAGCTTCTGCACATCAAAAGAAACTACCATCGGAGTGAACAGGCAACCTACAGAATGGGAGAAAATTTTCGCAATCTACTCATCTGACAAAGGGCTAATATCCAGAATCTACAATGAACTCAAACAAATTTACAAGAAAAAAACAAACAACCTCATCAAAAAGTGGGTGAAGGACATGAACAGACACTTCTCAAAAGAAGACATTTATGCAGCCAAAAGGCACATGAAAAAATGTTCATCATCACTGGCCATCAGAGAAATGCAAATCAAAACCGCAATGGGATACCATCTCACACCAGTTAGAATGGCGATCATTAAAAAGTCAGGAAACAACAGGTGCTGGAGAGGATGTGGAGAAATAGGAACACTTTTACACTGTTGGTGGGACTGTAAACTAGTTCAACCATTGTGGAAGTCAGTGTGGCGATTCCTCAGGGATCTAGAACTAGAAATACCATTTGACCCAGCCATCCCATTACTGGGTATATACCCAAAGGATTATAAATCATGCTGCTATAAAGACACATGCACATGTATGTTTATTGCGGCACTATTCACAATAGCAAAGACTTGGAACCAACCCAAATGTCCAACAATGATAGACTGGATTAAGAAAATGTGGCACATATACACCATGGAATACTATGCAGCCATAAAAAATGATGAGTTCACATCCTTTGTAGGGACATGGATGAAGCTGGAAACCATCATTCTCAGCAAACTAGTGCAAGAACAAAAAACCAAACACCGCATATTCTCACTCATAGGTGGGAATTGAACAATGAGAACACTTGGCCACAGGAAGGGGACATCACATCCCGGGGACTGTTGTGGGGTTGGGGGAGGGGGGAGGGAAAGCATTAGGAGATATACCCAATGTAAATGATGAGTTACTGGGTGCAGCACACCAACATGGCACATGTATACATATGTAACAAACCTGCATGTTGTGCACATGTACCCTAGAACTTAAAGTATAATAAAAAAATTAAATTAAATTAAATTAAATTAAATAGTGTGTGACACATGCTGGCTGTTTAATTATTTGATGTTTCTATGCACAAACAATGGAAAATGTCTCCTCTTGTTTTCTGTATGTCTTTTGAGGCTATTCATGAAGCTGACTCAAATTAGTGTCATCTAATTACAAATTACTAGTAGAAAATCACTAGCTAGCCGCATAGGAATCCCTTTATTCAATATTCACTCAATAACATGTGAGAAGCAGACTTTTGTCTGATGTAAGTATAGAGGCACAGAAAATACAAAGGCCATATCTTTCATGTACATATAAGTTTTGCTATAAGAATGGTTAGCAGAGCAGTATTTTAACCGAATATTAAAAACTCAGTGAATGTTTCTGAGAGGAGAAATAATGTATTAAGATCTTTACATCCTTGAAAATTATGACTGGAGAAATCAAGATTGGTTGGTGCTAGAAAAGGGCATACTGAAAGGTCAGGCAGGAGGGTGTTGGCATAAAGTGTGGCTTAACATGGATGGTACCATTGGAAATGGAAGAGAAATGAGAGATCAGTGATACAGTTTATAGTAATTAAGGTGAGAAATGTGACATAATTTAAACACATGTCAATATATTAATGCATTCTAAATACACTGTCATAGAAGGTTTGAGTTAGATACAGGAAAACAAATGCTTATACAGTTCAAATATACATGTTCTTATGGGCCAGAGCTGCCACTGTCACATGTGCTTTTACATGCCACCAGATAAGTAAGAATGTGAACAAGGGCATTTAAATCCACATGTCTGAAAAATGTGGCTTGTTAGTTTAAGTGTTCTCTTTAATTTCAGTAATGAGTTATATATTTAAGAAGGTCTTTGGGACACATGCAGATATCAGAAACTTGATGGATTCTTGCTTTCAATGGAATGGCTTCAGTGGCCTATTTTGATGGTAATAAGTTCTCATTAGATTGAACGACGTATTTTCTGATGATTATTTGAATTTTGTAGTCAAATGATTTGCATTTATCTTTGACAGTCTAAATGATCTATATGCTACATTATAAATACTACTTTACAGAAAGAAGTTATTTTTCTTTGGTAAATTTGGGCAAAAATTACAAAATATAGTCAATATTTTATTTTCTTCCTTGATACTTTTGTGTATTTCTTTTCAATTTTGATTAAAAACATCATGGCAATGATAAATAGCTTTTCATTTCTAAAAGCCTATATATTGTGAGAAATATATATGTATATATTTTGAAAGTTACTGTGGGAATAAAAAATGTGAGAAATTTTTTTTCTAAATAGAGGAGACTTTTTCATATGGAATAACACATACATTGAGAGTGTATCTTTGACTTCTTTCTTCAAGTATTTTGACAGATGGTGGAAGTAATAGTGAGCTACATTTGGATCCGAGTAGTGGATACTTTATAAATATAAATAACATATATCTGCTCAGCTGTGGTAGCTCATGCTTGTAATCCCAGCACTTTGGGAGGCTGAGGTGGGAGGATAACTTGAGGTCAGGAGTTCAAGACCAGCCTGGGCAACAGCGTGAGACACCATAACTACAATTAAAAAAAAATCAACTGGGCACAGAGGTGCATGCCTGTAGACATTGCCAGTAGTACCCATGCCTGTAGACCCTACTCAGGAGGCTGAGGCAGGAGGATTACTTACACCTAGTAGTTGAAGGTTACAGTGAACTATGATCATGCCACTGCAGTTCAGCCTGGGCAACAGTGTGAGACCCTGTCTCTAATTTAAAACATATACACACACATATGTGTGTGTGTGTGTATATAGCTTTGTAGTTATATAGATATAGATATAGGTATAGGTATAGATATAAATAGATATAGAACAGTCATACAAATCTATAATGAGATATGATGATATTCAAAATGTTTAATTAGAGCAATAGAGTCACAAATCAATCTTAACCAACCTACAGATAAATTGTAACGGATGTAAGTCCTAAACAATTTATACTGGTGAGAGTTTGCATATCTCCATTAGTGAGAGTTTAAATTTCTAAATATATATGCATTAAAGAGGGTAGATATTATCATATTTTATTAAAGGGAATTAAAAGAAACCAAGAATAAAGTGCATAAATTATTTCACAATAAAAATAGGTCCTTTATAAAATCATCATTTTTGCTTCTTCTATTTTGATCTACTAGGTCATTTGCAACCCACCCTCAAGAAGTCTCATTTTTACCAAGAATCTGTCAAGCTGTATTGTATTGTTGATGCAAAAAAAGCTGACAAGTTCAACAATTTCTTTTGACTCAAAGTATAAATAGCAATGTTTAGAATGCTAACCAAAACCTCTATAGTATGACTATAACGTAACGTGGCCTGCCAATAAATAATTACAATATTAAGAGATGTTTACACACAATGCTTAAATATTATTAGAATTTCTTGTGTGTTTTTTTTTTTAACCATTATGTATTACTCTGATCTGGACAAATGCAATCAATGACTGCCTACCTTACTAGAGTATTGATTTGAGCTGAGCAATTTGTAAGGAAATGTAGAGAATACATGTCATTATACGTATTTATTTGCTACCTTATAATTATCTAGAACAAACTTTATGTAGTCACCTCCTACAACAGAACTTCTAATTGCCTTAATCTCTTCAAAACCCAGAAAAGACAAAACAAGGGAAGGAGAAGGAGTTTATTATCCTCTTTGTTCTGGGTTAATATCCATTCTACATTTATTTTAATGTTCATCAATTAATAGATGAATATATATTCATCTATATATATGGCACTTCCAAAATTTTTAGTCACATTTGCTTTATCAGAGTGAGCTCTTAACTCTATTCTGAGTCTCCCTTACTCATGGAGTAATAATGATTTCCAAGCACAAATAAATTAAATTTTACTAGAAATTGAAATATGAATCTGGTGAATTTAATTTTTTACAATAATTTGAATACAATTGTATGATGTACATTCTTCTAATTATCTGGGACATATTATATGTTCCAAAGATGTTGAAACAATATCCATTATTTGTTCCACAGCTCTTCTAGAACCTTGCAACGTCCCTATCAAGAGGATCCCTTTGGCCCTTTCTTGACCTTGTGGGCTTTTCTGAGCGCTTTGGCCAATACTATATGGCAAAAATGATGCATTTGAATTCTGAGATTGTGTCATGAAAAAGTCATGAAGTTCCACTTCATTTTCCTTAGGATGATTTTTCTTTGAATCCAGCAACCATTCTGAGAGGAAAATTAAAATAGTCCATGCAGAAAGGCCACATGAAATGGCTAGGTGTGGTTGCTAGGGATGGCAATTTAGCTGAGGTTCCAACTGCCAGCACACATCAAGTTTCAGATATGAGATTGAAGATGTCTCCAGACTATTTGAGTTCCATGTTGTTGAGTCACATCACAGAGCAGAGAAAGATTGCTCCATCTGTCCAAATTCCTGATAAAAAAAAATCATGGCAATAATAAAATTTTAATATGTACTACCAGATTTGGTGTGATTTGTTACATACAATAGTAACTGAAAAGTCAAAGTACATACTTTATTTGTATTTTAATTTTTATATTTTAGATACATATTTTAGATACATCGCCGATAACAGTGATGGTACTGTGGTGCAAAAACTGGGCTATTCTAAAATTGCTCTGTGCTCTCAGTCTTAATTGTCTGGATAATGTTAGTTGAGAAGAAAATGCCTTCCTATTCTCACAGGCACAGAGCTTCTGTTTCCCATTTGTCCTGTGGCTTCTGCAGCTTGCTAGAGGGCCTACAATGTCCCACACTGACCAAGACTTCCAGGTTTGGACAACATGTGATGCCAGACAACTCTTAGGAATTGCTGGAAGCCAAATTTAGAATGGCTGGTGCTGGATAAGTAACTCTCACATTTGCCCTATTAGAATGTACAAAGACAACAATATGGAAGATAGTGTCCATCTACTAAATTATGAATGTACATTTATTGTCCGACAAATGACTTGAACTCTGATTGTTCTCTTTATGCAGGTAATGGGAAAATTAGGAATCTGTACATATTATAATTGTTCAACTGGCTTTGTGTTTTTTTTTTCTTTTGCTCGTGCAAGCCAATTTCCTAACTCATGACATGTGACTATGCAATTCCTCACAAGCTCTGCTTCACGTAATACCCGAGCACTGACTTATCTTGCATGACAATTAGGAAAACAGTGTTTAATTATACTTCAAAATGCTTAAATTCAGTATCACATTGAAATATTACTTAAAGCATGTGACTTCAAAGAAATAGAAGCTATGTAAGAGTTTTAGAAAATTTAATCAGTTATTTATTGATGCTGCAATATTGAATAATTAGGTATATGAAACATTCATGTATCAAGCAAATCTTAATCTATTCTCAGATTCCAATTTGCTTTTATAGGAATTGCTCAATTTTCAGAATAATGTTTCTGTTATTTGTAGTAAATATAGTTTATAATTCCTATTTGGCAATCTCCACTGCAATATTTCTTAGGTTTATGTGATTCTTTTCTACTGACAATTTTACTTTTTAAATAAAAAAAATCCCATAGCTCAGCTGTGTTACTTTCACTGAATTATGCATGTTCTGTGTGTACAACACTGCCTGAATTTTTTAAATCTAGAAATGTTCCAAAACAAGTTTTTTGAAAGACCAATAATCTGCTTTTTCATAAGAGTTTCCAATTCTTTGTTACATATTTATGATGGTTAATTCAAGAGTATCTGAGCTTCCAGTTTTATGGAAGGAAGAAACTCCTAAAGAATATATCCATGAAGAGAAAGCATGAAGCTCCAAAGTATTAACCCACATATACTTTGGGTAGATATATATGCAGTAACAAAACTGCAAGTGGTCAGCTATATTTTCAAACCTACTAGTCCTTATTGGGGTATCTTAAGAGTTGAACTATTTCTATTGACAGTTTTTTGTGATACGGTCTCAAATATTCAATCAAACTGAGCTATGTACATATCAAGCAGATAAAGACAAGTCCTTGGCAAATACACAGAGCATGGTTTAATCCACATGTTTACCAAAAACAGGGCTATATTTCTTTCACTCCTCTCAACATATATGCCTATGGCATTGAGATAGTTCTCTTGCTCCCTATATGCTATATTAGGTTAGCGCTTGATGTCTGTTATGAAGCCCAAAACTGTTCATTTAAGGAATGGCCTGTGCAGGCTTACTCTGATTAAAAAAATCTCTATACATTGCAAAAATCCTTTGCCAGCTCATAACTTGTCTTTCTTGCTAGGCAATGGGAAAGGAAAATACTGGTATACATCCCTAAAAGATAATAATCTTTTTAAATTTAAAAATGTGAACTATCCTACCATTCACATTTATTTCAAGAGTGAGTTACACAAAAACTATGTTAGGGTTTGCTCAGATTAACAAGTTTTCCTTGGACTGAGTCTGTTTTCAGAGACAGGTATGTTGGAAAGCAGAAGCATGCCCAACAAATAAGCGTCCACCAGGAATTGAGGGGGAAAAAAGTATCTATATGGAGAATATGCTGCTTAATATTTGTTACACATACAATTGTTCTCATTGAAACTTTGACTTTTCTATCAATAATCCTATTTTTTTTCTTAAGAAAATAGTCTGGGTGGTGGTTTGCTTTGCTTTTACCCATCAAAGTTGAAATGACTCACCCACAGAACACCACAGTGAGTAAGTCTCCATGTGTCTGCCACTCTTAACAGAAGTGATCATCACAGATCAGATATGAGAAACAAAGGAAAAAGAAATAATTAGTAGAAGTCTGAGGGAACACTATTTTGAGTGAAATGAAAGAAAAATTTATTTTTAATACAAATCATATTGGTTTTGTCTGCCTTATGTTCTGAGTCTTTCAATCATTGCTGTATAAAATGACTCATTCAATTTAGTATCTGGCATGGAAAATAATTCTCTCCTGCTATTTGCCATGAATTTCCATAAAACATTCTGGCATAGTCAGCATAAGGTTGTGAGTAAATTCAGTATTCTGATAAATTATTAAGTATACATGTGAGGCTTATCCTCCTGTCAGAAGATAATCATTGCGTTGAAATAAGGTAGGTAAAATATTTGTCATTCTTCCCATTCCTGTCTTACCTTTCTATTCTTGCTGATGTGTATGCAATTTAAAAATATGCTATACTTTGTGAGGGCACACTGAAATCTGAAAAGGAAAAGGAAAGTTTGCATTCCAAATGGGATCAACCAAGAGTCCTTCACATAGAGTGGATGACTAAAACAAAATTCTAACTCCATCTGGGAAACAACCATTTTATCAGATAACAAAATTTGGTATCAAATAATTTAAAAGCCCAATAATAAAATGTGATATTGATTAAGCTGAAAATAGCCTATGATTCTTAACTAAAATTTTATAAATATACAATTAACTGTAAGTAGGACAAAGGATCAAATTTGTGATGGTCAAACAGCATGCATCAAATGAGTGACTGTTGTCTATAGCTTTTAAAGTTGCCCTAAGATATTGCCTTTCTTTTTGTTGGAGAAAAAGTTCTATGTAAACGCTAAGGAAGAATTTATTGCTAACCATAAAAAATGTTTAAAGAAATGCCATAAGGCAGCTGTAAAAATATGAACTAGAATCATAATATCTCAAAACTAGGAATATTTAGAAAAACAATTTAGAGTTTGAAATCTGCTAAACAGAGATCATTAACTTTCCATAACAGATGCCAGATGAAGTTACCAGATAGAGTAGAAAAGAGAAGCCTACACTTAATTCCCCAATCTAAAGTTCTGCCTTTGCTCTTTTCCAGACATCTGCTCTAAAGACAGAATAATTTGCATCACCTCTGGACATAATAGACTGTTCCTCTAATTACTAAAGGGCTAATTAAAAGTCAAATTATTGGGAAAGTTTCAATTGTAATTCACCTGTAACTCACCAGTCTGTCTGTAACATACAGAGAAGATTCTGAAGAACCTATAGAATCTTGACCATTAAGATTGTGAGACAAACATGAAAATGAAGTCAAGTTAGAAAAGATTGATTTTGGGTGATAGAATATTTCAGTGAAGAGCACTGTTCATTTATTATTCCAAACTGCGACCTCTACAGTGCTTTCATGCCACTAAAATTGGATATATAGAACCGACTGGGGGAAATTTACAACTCTGATACTAGAGCTTTAGAAAGTAAAGGTGCCCTCTAACATGACTGCCTCCCTTCCATCTTCTTTTTTTTAACCTCCCTTTAATTATATTATAAAATTGCTTCTTAGTTTTACTTCTATTTTAGACATTATCTCCTGAATCTCTTCAATAGTCAATTTGGATGTTACTCCCTTTTACATATTTTAATAAAACCATGAGCATTTAACTTTTTTGTATTTTCAGTATAATTTAATAAAGACTTTTGGTTATATTGATATTTATTGTTTAATTGTAATTCTAAACATTGTTTGCTGCCAAGTAAAGTAATAGCACATTTATTTTATTGTATTATTATTGTTTTGGGGTGAATGATTTTCCTTGTGGTGATTCAATTCATTTTCCTATGTATTTCACTAATTGACCCCTAACTCTGATACAATTCTGAAATATCTAAAAAATAACCTCTATCAGACATTCTATTCTGGTGTTTTGCTCTTCTCTTCTGAATTTCTAAATCTATTACTGTCTGCACGGGTTGCTCTCTATGTACTTCTCTAGGTAGCTTTTACATTTTCTTGATTATTCTTGTTATTTCTTTTTTCATGTTAGATTTCCTCTTTATTTGGTACTATATATTTATCTTTCTTATCAATTATTTTGCATAACATGTTGGAACAGGGAAAGTGAACATTTTGAGACCATTCAAATCTAAAAATCTTCATATTTAGTTTAATGCTTGATTGAGAGTTTGGCTGGATATCAAATTTTTGGTTAGAAATAATTATATTCCAGAATTTTTAGACTATTTTGTTTTAGATTCAAATGTATTCATTGATCAGTCTCACTGTTATTTCTCCTTTTTAATTTTTAAAAAATATATTTAGGGGGTACAAATGCAGATTTACTACATTCCTACATATTGTGTTGTGGTAAAGTTTGGGCTTTTAGTGTACTCATCACCTGAATAGAAAACTTGTACTCAATAGGTAATTTTTCAGCTCTCACTTCCCCCACACCTTCCCGCCTTTTAAAGTCTCCAATGTGTATTATTCCACTTTGTATGTACATGTGTGCAAATTATTTTGCTCTCACTTATAAGTGAGAACTTACGGTATTTGACTTTCTTCTTCTGCATTATTTCACTGAGTATTATGACCTCCACTTCTATCCATCTTGCTGCAAAAGACACAATTTAATTTGTTTTAAGGCTGAGTTGTATTTGATGGTATATATATACCACATTTTCTCTACCCAACTCGCATTAATGAACACTTAGATTGATTCCATGTCTTTGTTTGCTATTTTTAGTAGTGCTGTGAAAAACATACGAGTATAGGTATCTTTTTGATATAATAATTTATTTCCCTTTGAGTATATTCCCAGCAATGGGAATGCTGAATAGTAGTTCTCTTTTTAGTTATTTGAGAAATCACCATACTGTTTTCCATAAAGCTTGGATTAATTCACATTCCCACCAATGGTACATAGGCATTCCCTTTTCTCTACAACCTTGCCAATGTCTGTTTCAGACTTTTCAATAGCCATTGTGACTGGTGTAAGATGCTATCTGATTGTGGCTTTAATTTGCATTTCTCTAATGATTAGTGATATTGAGCATTTTTCTCATATGTTTGATGGCTACTTGTATGTCTTCTTTTGAAAAATATCTGTTCATGTCTCTCTCTCTCTCTCTCTCTCTCTCTCTCTATATATATATATATATATATATATATATATACATATATATGATGGCTATTTATATCGTGTGGCAGGGAGAGTGAACACAGTATCTTCCCAGAGATAATTTAATTATTATAGATGATATTTCATCAAGATACAAATGTATATAAAGGTAAATGTTGAAAGTGCAAAAATAATAAAATGGAAGAGAGAACTTTCAACTTGAAATATTAAGAAGGACTTATAGAACAATTGGTTTAAATTAGACCTTAGAAAATAAGGAGATAAATATACGTATATGCTGATAACAGTCCAGGGCAGCTTGCATAGACTCTGTGCCGGATGAAGTGACAGATCTGAAAATTAAGATATATGTTATGAAGAAGTTTGAGTGTCAAACAAAGGATGTGGCCAACATGAAAATTAGCATAGGTGTTTATTATTAGAAAAGTTACTTATTATGACAGTTTTATTTTTATTATTTTCACTTCTAAATATTGTTTTCTTAGCAATGTGTACTATGGTTCATAGGATAAAGTTTGAAGGCTTTGACAATGCTTTGAAGACTCTTGAAAATGAGAGGGAACAAAGTCCTGGCATATGAGTTAGTTCATGTGCATGCAATGGAGAAAACTGTCCTTGCCTACTTTTCCATAGGACATGGTGTTCGTTAAGTAGACAGGAATATAATAAAGAAAGAGATGATGGACCAAATATCTCCAAGAGCTGTAATTTCCAGAACAGTCAAATAAAAAGGCAGGTTTTTATTTTTGGGGTATGTATGGAGAGTGTGAGGTAGCATCATAAGGAAAGATAATCAATAAAATTTTTAACATTTTTTTGAGTTTTGTCTTTGGTGAGCCTAAAAAATTGTCTTGTAACCATATGTACTCTTATTACATCAACTCAAATGTGATTTTTTTAATTTATTAGGATGTTAAGATTTTTCTTATTAATGAGAAAGGTAATCTACTCACATTCATTTCTTTGAAAGTTGTACTTTTTCTATTGTATTTACCTTTATTACACCTATTGTTTTAATAAAAGGCTAAAATGTTGCAAATAAGTGAGCATAAAATGAACTAAATGCTTTCCAAATATGAAGTCTCTATAATCAATACTGATTGACGGTAATTTAATGGGAGAAATGTTGGCAATTTTTTCTAAATGCTTTTACCTACATCATCAATTTCTCCCCCTCTTTAATGAGAAATAAGTTGTCCTCTGTTTATAGTTAAAACATAGTTTAAATTTTCCTAAGGGCTTTAAAAACAGATGGTAACATCTGTTTAAAACTGATATGGATATTAAGTACAGAAGTACTTAACCACTATTTAAAATTTTATTTCTCTAAGAGGATCTCTATCTATCCCCCACGTATTCAAGAAAAAAAAATACTTAAAAGTTACCTCTACGCTATGAAAATGTAAATAACACAGAGGTATAAAAATTAAATATATAAATGCTGACAGTTTATACTTTGTCTAGTAAGGCTAAAAGTTGTTGACTCAATTTGATTCATTATGTGGGCACATTTTTCCTCTATATGTTAAGCTATTTTGTCTCTAGTAGCTTCTCTTTAATTTTTTTTGTTTCCCTTTACAAGAGAAATGTTTGCCATTGGTGTCTCGTGATGTTCTCTGCATTACTTTTAACATAAACAAAGGCACTATCAACAGTGGTTGGTTAACCTGTATATTTATGAATCTGTATTAAGCTCTGAACATTAAAGGTCTAGAGAAGAACATCCAGTATTTAACAGTTCAACTATTGAATAAAATAATTTTATTACTACATATAATAAAAGCCATATTGCCAATCTAAAAGACAAAATTTAGAGGCATAGAAAAGTATTCCAATGAAGAATAATTGTCACAGTCATGGTTTAAACTTAGGTCTGTTTTCAACATTCTCTCTGGAGGTTAGTTATTCAGATTGTCCTACATTTTCAAAAAATGTAGGTCTTGGCCTCTTGGACTCTTCATTAAATGTTCAGTGGTATAATTTTTATAATTAACGTGAATTAATTACAATACCTTATTAAAGCACTGCTTTTATGCAGTAACAGAAATGGCCAAAGTAGATATTTATTTATTCATTTAAATGTTTCAAAATGTAAATGAATTTAGTATCATTGCATTAGAAAGCTGTGAACTGAAGTGGAGGGTTGAGCCCTTATGAATGACCAGGCCTCTGTAATAAGTTGATAATAAATTGATAATGTGGAAGTGCTATTAATTATATTCTGCATTCAAAAGGTGCAGTGATTTAATTAATTCTCCTTTATTTTAAATGCAGCTTCCCAGAGTCTACATCCTTTTCTGAATTATCAAAAGACTGTGGATATTGATAGAGAGTAAAGGCAACTCAAACTCTGATATAAATTTTTGAAGTTTAAAAAGTGATAGAAAGTTTATTTTGATTTTAAAATATGTGGTTATTTTTATACAATAATGACAAACCAAACTTACATACTACAGTGAAAAATTTTGGAGAAATACATTATTGTTTGCGAACCATATTTCCAATTGATTACTAACTTATAAATCCTGCCTAAACTCTCTTCCCGTGGTACTAAAATTAAGTTTTTTTCATTCTTTGAATGATTCCAGGAAATTGCTAAATATGCAGCTCCTAAACTCAGACTATTCTGTGTCTTAATCCAAGAGAAGTCCCAACCACTATCCCTCATTTTGAAATGAAAGAGCCACAAAAGGAACGGTTTATCTACTGATGCCAGACCAACATTGCACAGAATTGTGTCTCAACCCAAGCATATCTCTCTACAGATGTTGAAGGAAGGGTGTCTGTGTACCCACTGATTCTTCTGCTGATGAACAATAGCATGATTGTTCCAGGTGATTCTTATTGATGACTTTCAGAAGCAGCACAGCATGTCTCCTAATATGGAATGGTTTGCTATGCTATTGCATGGCTGAAAGGGTTGACTGGACCACCATGAGGATGGAAAATTTTTCCTGAAGAAATAATAGTGGTGTGGGTGCATTGTCAGTGGGTAACCAATGCTTATGAGAGGACATGTTAGTGAGATCTAAAGGTTCCCATGATTAGGTGGTTGGATTATTCACATTATAGGTTACCTTGAGCAGATATGAAGTCCACAGATCTAAGAGTTATGAAGCCCCGGATTAGGTGGTTCACTTGTCAATCATGTCACCATGGAATTTACAGACTACTGAAGCCTGAAAATATGTTGATAAAGAGGGAACTGAATGGAAAAGAGTGAGGACTGATAATGATTGGTCTAATTGATTGTGGGGGTGAAGGTGGCAAACATAACACCCCTTATTTTTCTTTCATTTTATTATAATCATCCTTGTGAGTGTGAAATTGTGTCACATTGTGGTTTTGATTTGTATTTCCTTAATGCCAATGCTATTGAACATCTTTTTATTTGCTTGTTGGTCATTTGTATGTCTTATTTAGAGAAATGTCTATTCAAGTCCTTTGATCATTTTTAAATTGTGTTGTTCATCTTTTGTTGATAAAGTTTTGTAAACCATTTATATTCTTCATACAGAACCTTTATCGAATGTATAATTTGCAAATATTTTCTCCTATTCTGTGGATTGTCTTTTCACTTTCTCAATAGTGTTCATGGGTACACAATGGTTTAAAATTTTAATGAAGTCTAACTTATCTGTTTTCTTTTGTCTCTCATGTTTTGTTGTCAAATCTAAGATTCCACTGATAAATATGAGGTCATGAGGATTTACATTTACATTTTCTTTTAAGAGTTTTATAATTTTTCTTGTTATATTTATGTCGCTGATTCATTTTAAGTTGATTATTGAATATCAAATGAAGTAGGGATCCAATTTTATTCTTTTGCATGTGTTTATCAAGTTCTAGCAGTATTTACTGAAGTCTGGTCTTTTCCCATTGAATGGTCTTAGCACCCTTGTAAAATATCTATTGGCCATAAATGTTTATTTGTTTATTCTTAATTATATTACATTTGGCCTATCCTTAGGTCAGTTGCATACATTTTTATAATTGTATAGTTTTGTTGTAAGTTTTGAAATCCCCAACTATTTTTGTACAATTGCATATTTCTTTCCAATTCTGTCAGTTTTTGCTTTACATATTTTAGGACTGTGTTGTTTTCTGTTTATTTCATAATTGTCATGACTTCTTGATGATTTGAACTTTTTATCAAAATACTTGTCCATTGATTCTTGCAACAACTTTTACTTGCAATCTACTTTGTCTTATAATAGTATAGCCACTCTAGCTATTATTTGGTTATTATTGAATATTATCTGTATGGGATACTTTTTTTTTCCATTTGTGTTTTCAAACTATTTGTGTCTCTGATTCTAAAATGAGTCTCCTATAACAATGGAAACTTGTTCTTTTTAAAAAGAATTACATTCTATCAATCTCTGCCTTTTAATTGGTGAGTAATCAATTTACATTTAATTTTTTTATTGATAATGAAGATTGACATTTCCCAAAGAGGAAGAAATCATCCTTAAAATGGCAACAGAGAGAACTGATACTGCCTAAGTCTCTATCTTACTGCTGTCTGAAATATGGGCTAAGGACTGTAACATCAACTCTTACCTAAATTTCTAGCCTGCTAACCTGTACTACAAATCTCAGACATGCCAGCCTCAACAATCCTGTAAGCCATTCTTTAAATCTACCTTTCTCTCTCCATATAATATGTACATAAACACTATGTATATACAATGTTAAATATAACCACTATATATATTTAACCATTATATATATAAATAATATATATTAAACACAAGAAGTCAAAATACATCAAACTATTTTTTCAATAAGCATTCCAGTGGACACTGCAAGTATTTGACCACAGTCCAGTGTTGGAAAATAATTTATTCTGATAGTTCTTGCCAGCTCAATAATTATTCTCATGGAAGGACTGGTTTCTAAAGCCTCCTACCATCTTCCATAAAATCATGCTGTTTTTTAAATTTATATCTGTTTCATAGTATAATTTTTTCAGATTCTAATTTTTATATATTACTTTTGTGCATATGTGTCCAATATACCTACACGCCATACACACACACACACACACATATATTTCTTCTCTGCATGATCACCCTGTTCCTGGGATTTTGTTTTATACCATCTAGTTTGCCTTCTTTATATAATCTCTTGTTTGAATTATGTGTTTTCTTGTTTCATAGCAAATGTGACTTTCCTATCTTTCCTTTGTCCTTACCCACCCCCGCCCCCAGTTTATTTTAACTGACAGAAATGGGTAAAGATAACAATTCTCTTCTATCTTAAATCCCAAACCATGGTCTTAAATATTGTCAGATTTATTTCTTTACTTTTATTTTGTATATGTTTTACATATAAATTTCCATTTGTGTTTTCAAACTGTGTCTCTGATTCTAAAATGAGTCTCTTATAA
This sequence comes from Homo sapiens, assembly GCF_000001405.40. Lineage (NCBI taxonomy): Eukaryota > Metazoa > Chordata > Mammalia > Primates > Hominidae > Homo > Homo sapiens. The sequence goes on from NC_000005.10 coordinate 26,304,293, forward strand.
CAATGGAAACTTGTTCTTTTTTAAAAAATTACATTTTATCAATCTTTGCCTTTTAATTGGTGAGTTTAATCAATTTACATTAAATAAATTTCAGGATCAACCCAAAAATTAAATAAGTAAATGTTAGGATGATATATTACATATTTAGATATATAAAGATTTTAATATAACAGGCACAGATCTTGATTATCCACACATACTCACACATATAATTGGTGAGCAGTTAGGTAATGAATTTAAGTTTAATATAATATTTTGTTGCATGAAAATATATGCAAATCCTCATCTATTCATAGTAATGATAATTTAGTCAGTGAATGAGACTTTTTCTACACGCATATCATAACACAGATAAGCATACACAAGTCTTTATGGTAATTTCTTCAAATATGCATCTTAAGGAACAAATTTCATTTTCAAGTAATTTGTTATAATTATATAGCTGTAGAAATTACCACGTAACATTTTTATTATTAATATATGATGTATTTTATTTTTACTATACAAGAAAAAGACCTGCTTCAATTCTCAGGCTTAATGAAAACACAACTTTGTAATTAATATCACAAAGCTGTGCTGTGTGTACACCTGATTTAACTACTAACTTTATGTTAAAAATTAATCCATGCTCTCTTTGAAGTTCAGAGAAAATACCATCTTCAATCTTATTTTATACTTGGCTTATCCCAAACCGACACTAAACAAATTTATCATGGCTCTATTACCTTGAAATTAACGTTTCTTGAATTTACATGCTACGGCATGTAGACTTTAAAAACTAAATTACTCATATTAAATTTTTGTATTTTAATTGTTCTTATTCTCTAGTCTTAATAATTATGGGTTATATAGAGTTTTGATCCTTAAGAGAGTAATAAATTATTACATAAATAAATCCTTAAGTAATATATTATTACAATATCTTGAATAGATATGTCTATATAGTTAGAGGATTTTTTAAAAGTTAAAAAAACCTTGTTACTTTTCATTAAGATTTCAGACAAAATGCAAATTAGACTAATATAATAAAATGCCTTGAATATTCTTAGAAAAAATATAAATGTCTTTCTCCATTTTAAAGAAGTAGTTTCTCCGTTTTAAAGAAAGCAAAGGTAAAGTAACATTCATAATATGAAGATTTACTCTTCTCAGCATTTGTTGGAAAAACAGATGTTTAGGCTCTAACCCAATTTTTAAAATAATTTAACTGTTTTTAAAATGGGTAGTCCGGTTTAAAAATTGATTATACAATTATGGATTTGTTCTTGAATAAGTTCCTCAAGAATCTGCAGACAAATGTCATTGCAGCACGCAGTTAAATGCCAATTCCTGAGCACTACTGCCAGTGGTCCTCCTAAAATAATTACACAAGAGTAAAATCTTCTTGTTGTATCAGCAAACGATATTTTTTACCTGCCAACAATGTAATTGAAGTTAGTGTTTTCTTCAATTTAGAGGGTTTAGATTATCAGTAGAATTTTTAATAATTATTTTTTCATTTCTCAGCAAATATATGCGTATGGAAAAGAGGTGGCAGTCATTTATGGGAATTAAAAGAGATAATGTTTTTTTTTGATAATATATTGCATGGTGCCCAATGTTCACAGGCATGTAATTTGCCACACCATATGCCAAATTAAAAAATAATAGTAATTTTCCAATTCACACAAGAAACACTATCAGCATCAGCCATAAGACATATATGTATTGACCCCATTTACTTTTATCTAAGCTTGCTTTTATGTAGTTGTTTTTACTTTATCAAATTTTTAAAAATAAACTCATGGAAGTTTATATATATATATTATTTATATATATATATATATATAAAAAGAAGAAATACTTCTTTTTAAAGACAACAAATCTTTGATACCAGTATGTTAGCAATAAAAAGGGAAACATAAGAAGTATAGATTCATTTTGCATTTGTGCATTATATCACTAATTTTTAAAACTGCTGTGAAATTAGTCAATTAAATTAATGCATTATTTAATCTCACTAGTGTTAGTCAAGAAATTCATCAAAAATGCTAATTTCTATGGTCATTTCTCTATTTATAACCTATTACCAACTATGAGCAACAACCCAAGCTAATTAACTTGACAAAATACTTTCTACAACTTGACTCCGGGGTCCTATTTCAGTTTTACTTCCCACATGTCACTCATACCACAACCATTATAAAACCAAATTTTTCTGCGTTTAAAGAATAAGCTTAATATTAATGTCAATATTAATATTAACATCACCTCATTTAAAAAGACTTTTAAAATAATTGTTGACGATTTTTGCACATTGATTTTGTATCCTGAGACTTTGCTGAAGTTGCTTATCAGCTTAAGGAGATTTTGGGCTGAAGCGATGGGGTTTTCTAGATATACAATCATGTCATCTGCAAACAGGGACAATCTGACTTCCTCTTTTCCTAATTGAATACCCTTAAGTTCTTTCTCTTGCCTGATTGCCCTGGCATTCTTATACACAAATTACAGACAGAGAACCAAATCATGATAGAACTCCCATTCACAAATGCTTCAAAGAGAATAAAATACCTAGGAATCCAACTTACAAGGGATGTGAAGAACCTCTTCAAGGAGAACTACAAACCACTGCTCAATGAAATGAAAGAGGATACAAACAAATGGAAGAACATTCCATGCTCATGGGTAGAAAGAATCAATATCATGAAAATGGCCATACTGCCCAAGGTAATTTATAGATTCAATGCCATCCCCATCAAGCTACCAAAGACTTTCTTCACAGAATTGGACATAACTGCTTTAAAGTTCATATGGAACCAAAAAAAAAGCCTGCATCGCCAAGTCAATCTTACACCAAAAGAAAAAGCTGGAGGCATCATGCTACCTGACTTCAAACTATACTACAAGGCTACAGTAACCAAAATAGCATGGTACTGGTACCAAAACAGAGATATAGACCAATGGAACAGAACAGAGCCCTGAGAAGTAAAACCACACATCTACAACCATCTGATCTTTGACAAACCTGACAAAAACAAGAAATGGAGAAAGGATTCCCTATTTAATAAATGGTGCTGGGAAAACTGTCTAGCCATATGTAGAAAGCTGAAACTGGGTCCCTTCCTTACACCTTACACAAAAATTAATTCAAGATGGATTAAAGACTTAAATATTAGACCTAAAATCATAAAAACCCCAGAAGAAAACCTAGGCAATACCATTCAGGACATAGGCATGGGCAAGGACTGCATGTCTAAAACACCAAAAGCAATGGCAACAAAAGCCAAAATTGACAAATGGGATCTAATTAAACTAAAGAGCTTCTGCACATCAAAAGAAACTACCTTTTCAGAGTGAACAGGCAACCTACGGAATGGGAGAAAAATTTTGCAATCTACTCATCTGATAAAGGGCTAATATCCAGAATCTACAAAGAACTCCAACAAATTTACAAGAAAAAAACAAACGACCTCATCAAAAAGTGGGCAAAGGATATGAACAGACACTTCTCAAAAGAAGACATTTATGCAGCCAACAGACACATGAAAAAATGCTCATCATCACTGGCCATCAGAGAAATGCAAATCAAAACCACAATGAGATACCATCTCACACCAGTTAGAATGGCAGTCATTAAAAAGTCAGGAAACAACAGGTGCTGGAGAGGATGTGGAGAAATAGGAACAGTTTTACACTGTTGGTGTGACTGTAAACTAGTTCAACCATTGTGGAAGTCAGTGTGGCGATTCCTCAGGGATCTAGAACTAGAAATACCATTTGACCCAGCCATCCCATTACTGGGTATGTACCCAAAGGATTATAAATCATGCTGCTATAAAGATACATGCACACATATGTTTATTGTGGTACTATTCACAATAGCAAAGACCTGGAACCAACCCAAATGTCCAACGATAGACTGGATTAAGAAAATGTGGCACATATACACCATGGAATACTATGCAGCCATAAAAAATGGTAAGTTCATGTCCTTTGTAGGGACATGGATGAAGCTGGAAACCATCATTCTCAGCAAACTATCGCAAGGACGAAAAACCAAACATCGCATGTTCTCACTCATAGGTGGGAAGTGAACAATGAGAACACTTGGACCCAGGAAGGGGGACATCACACACCGGTGCCTGTTGTGGGGTTGGGGGAGGGGGGAGGGATAGCATTAGGAGATATACCTAATATAAATGACGAGTTAATGGGTGCAGCACAGCAACATGGCACATGTATACATATGCAACAAACCTGCACGTTGTGCACGTGTACCCTAGAACTTAAAGTATAATAATAATAAAAAGATAATCGTTGATATCTGGAGAGAAAAAGGTAGAGATAAAGATAGAGGTAAGGAAAGGCAGAGGGAGAAAAAGAGAAAAGAAAATGATACGACTACTACAACTATCAATGCAATTACTAACTACACCAATATAATACCTCGTTATTTCTCAGACTATACTGCATATTAATCATCTCTTTCTGTGTTTGTTATACATTATTTGTTCTGTGGCATAGATTCTTGCAATAGACAATATAGTGTTCTATTTCATAATATTATAATCATCATCATAAATATTACTATTATTGTGTTTATTATTGTAAGTATTATCTTATTATATGCCATCACCTGCAACCTCTCAATCAGTCCCTGGAAAATAAGTAAGCCATCAAATATTAAGATAGGGTCAGTAAATACATGCAATTTAAAAAAATAACAGCAGCTTCTAAAACAAAACACACACAGCAGTTGTCAAAGCCCAACTGTGTACTAGTAATTAAAAATCTGTGTTTAATTATTCATCCACTTTACCTTTCATTTATAAACAAATATTTTGTTAATGTTTAAATGCATCACAAACAATGCTTCATAAAAGAGAAAGAAATATAATTATTAACAGATGATTTCTTTCAATAAATGAAGTATCCGGGCTAGAAGGAGAAATGCCTGTTCTGGCTAGTTTCACAGTCTGTGCTCTCTCTCCTTTCCATGCAGATTCACACACATCTCCTCTCATCATTAGAAGTTTGCTACGAACTCAGGCGAGGATGAAAATAATTTCTGATAAAGTATGAGAAGCATGTAGCTTCCAAAACCTTGAAGATGATAATTTAGTAAAAATCTCAACTAGAGTTAAATGAATATGTATATATACTTCAAAACATTATGTTGTACCTTATAAATACATATAATGTTATATGTGTATTTAAAAATACATTAAAAAATAAATGTCGTTAATAAGGAGGCATGTGAGAATTGTGAGCCCCTGATAGGATGCAATAAGAACATAGCATCTCTTTTTATAACCTGAGTCTAAACACAAGGAGACGTTAAACCATCCTAAATTTAAAATATCTTAAAAAAATAACTAGCCTACAGTCTTCAAAAGTGCCAAAGACATAGAAATCAAAGTTAAACAAGCATTCCAGATCGAAGGAGAGACTAAAGGAAAATGACAAATTCAAGAGTGATTCCAAACTGAATTATTTTAGAATAATGCTAGAAAGGGCATTATTAGAGCAATTGGCAAAATTTTTATATGGTCTGCGGATTAGATGGGAATGGTTGATCAACGTCCTTTTCCTGATTTTGATGGGTATAGGTATTACGGTTACACAGGAACATGTCCTGCTTGAGAGAAAATACATACTAAAGTTTCTGGGAATCAGACTGCAATTTGTTTCATTTTGTTTTCAAAAATGAAAAGTTCTTTTCACTATATTTTCAACTCTTCTATAGGTTTGTGATTATTTGAGATGTGAATGTAGTTTAAAATGTTTTAAACAAACCACCAATATATTAAAACACCTCTCTTGTCAGAAAGGGATGGAATGTATGTAATTACATTGTTTTGACAAAAAATTGTCTCTAAACCATATTATTTTTCTATTATTATACAAGCTTTAGAATGAGAGTTTTGTAATATATTTTAATTTTTCTGCACTATCTGATGTAACAAGCTCATTACCATATGATTCTCACATGTATAATAATAAGTCACATGTGAAATAATATTTTCTACATCCTACAAATTATATATTTTGATGAATTTCATTGCTCCAGATTGTGTGAACATTTCTAAAGATACTAAAAGTTACCATATATATACATAGAAGTGAGTATGGCTAGAATAATTTTGAATAAAAAGTATTGGGCTTAATCAACTCTGTATAGTTGAATTTCAAGCTTTTGAAGTAAGAGACTGAAGTAAAAGATAAAATATTTAGAAAAATAAATCTGTTCTATCACATTAAGATATTTAATTTTCTTCTTTATTTCTATCCTAACTGATTCTGGTGAGGAAAAAAATGACCTTTCTTGCGCAATGACAAAACTATGTTTCTCAATGCTGGTGTCATTTATTTAAGTCATAGTAGCCATTTTGTACTATCACTTTGGAAATAAATTTTCCTTGTAAAACACAAAATTCGGTTTAACACTAGGCATTGTCTTTTTAGAATATAGCACTTTCTCCATAAAGCAATAAAAAAAGTAATTGGAGGCTGAGCAGCTTGGAGAAGTTCATATAAATGTATTAAAAATGAATATGTGTGAGCTATGAACTTTTGCATTTCTTAATATAGAAACAGAAGTTACAGTCAGACCTCAGAAAGGACAGTATTTTTTTCCTTCTAGAAAATGTCATCATATCTTTAAAATCTTGCTCAGGTCCATTTCAAAAGATAGTTCATTCAGAACTTTGACCAGATTAAGAAAATATTCTCACAAAATATCTGATAGACAAAGTTTGTTTCACACTTGGCTCTATCAATTTTTACAAGAAATGTTTACTATTTTTCTTGTTCCCAATAACTGTATATTGAAAATTTAGTGCAATCAATGATGGCCTGTTCTCTTAAGTTAATTGATTCTCTAAAAATGTTTAGAGCCTTTTAAATTTTCCATATCTCTGCGTGAGTTATACATTTATTTTTAAAAGAATTCCCCATTTACTCAAAACTTTCTCTTTATTGACTTAAAATTGTTTAAGTTACCTCTTATTTTCTTTTTATATTCATGAGGGTGTCCCTATTTGCATTGCTGACATTGATACTTTCCATTTTTTCCATTAATTTTTTCTTCAGTTTTATGAAAGAATTGTTAAATTTAATAATCTTTTCAAAGAACTAATAGCTCTGTTTCAACTTCATTATATTATACATCTAAAATATATTTTATGAATTTATGTTCTTATTTTTATGATTTGATCCACTCTCTATTTTTATACTGATTTTATTTTAATTTTCTTGGTTTCTTGAGATGGAACATTTAATCACTGAATTTCTACCTCATTACTTTACAAATATATGCAGTTAAATCTATAACTTGTTTTCTGAAAAAGTTAAATTGCATCCCACTAGCTTCATATGTTTCTAATTATCTTTCGTGGAGTTTTCTTTTAATATTTATTAACCATAGGATACTTAATAGTGTTTTTTTCCTGATTTTGATGGGCATAGGTATTACGGTATTACATAGAAAAAGAATATATTTTAATGATTTTAATAATTAATGACACAGCATATGGTTAGTTTTGGTAAATGTATCCAATGCCATTGAAAACAACAGGGATTTTCTTATTGTTTGGTACGGTCTATAACTGAATTAGGTTATTTTTACCATGTTGCTAAGATATTTTATATTCGTACTTTTTTTACTGATCTTATCTGCTCTTAAGGGATGCAATGTTCTTACAGTTTAATTATGGAGTGGGTAGACATTTAATCCATTTTGTTTATACTTAAAGGAAAATTATATTTTAGATTTTAAAAATAATATTTAATAAAGATAAAATATTTTAGGCTACATCAGGAAAATCTACATGTTAATTTTCTACATAAAGATGTTAATTGGAATAAAACCTTAGAATATAATGTATCATTTTATAATACAAGCGCAAATATTTTAATACATACATATGTAGTGAAATAATTATTTCTTAAAACATTTTTCAATATCCGTAAATATTAAATCCTTAAATAATTTTTTGAAGAGAAATAATTAAAATAAAAATTTGTTTTTTGATAAGGTAATAATTTTTAATGAGTGATAATAATATGGTGTAAAGTAAAACAAAAATGTCATATATAATGGTTTTATATATGTACTTAAAATTATTTAATATTTTTATTATAAATTACTCGATCTGGTTATCAGAAACCATAAATTCAAAAATGACCTTTACATGTGGGAAGAAAATGGTGGTTAGCAAGAGGACTATTATCATGGACTTCTCTACCATAGATGTCTCAGAAGAAGAAACAATGGAAGTCAAATGTGCTTGTGGGGAGAAATTCTATATATCAGAATTTGTAACACACACTCAATATTATTTACTAACAAAAAGTTAATGGACAGCCCTAATTTATAAAATAATTCTAGCAGGTCACACTTGATTTATCAAGATTGCTGACTCTAAGTAAATTTGGTCTTTATAGATTTATAGGATCCCTGGCTGTCTAGATAATCAAAACCAGTCCAAAAAGCCACTAATCAATGACTATAAAGTGGAAATATTTTAAAATTAAAGTGGCTTTCTTTTGTGTAGCAGTATCTCCATTTATACTGCTCAGAACCAACATCTTCTGTTAGATTTCAAAACAAAAGTGGGTCGAAATGCAGGAGATAAAAATCATTTTGGTGCAATTGCATCTGGAAATCTGAGTTCTATAAAGAAAGAATGTTTAACCTGTGACTGTTTTTTCATTGCAACTTTTTGGATATTAGTAACTTTGGGTCCTTGGAAAGATCCCAAACACATTTGATACTTATTGACAATTCAACCTTTCCTTTTACTATATATATTGGGCCAACAGCATTATTGACTCTCAGGCCCATGTATCACAATGGTTAAGACAGTTTTTCACAAGAAAACTGAGGTTATAGAAAACACCATAACCTAACACAGGTTCAAATGCTCACTGCTTGCTGAGTCCAATTAAGAAGAGCAAGGTCTGGTAGAAAGTGATGTTATTAACTAAAGCTACTAAAGGGGAAATGGCTGGATTTCCAGCCAAAGCAACCACTTTAATTTGCATCCAGGAGTTGGGGAGACAGGAGTTTAAAAAGGGAAAATTTGATATGGAATACCTGCAATAATTGTGTTGAATACAATGTCTGTGTATCTTGTTCTGGTGGCTATCTTGGGTCCCAGTCCACCTGAATCTCAGGCTGGCCTCATTTCAACAATGGCCATGTTGTTGACTATCTGCCTTGAAGTAATCTCTTGAATTTTGCAACTTGGTCTCCATGCTTAGTCTGTCTGTGTCAAGATTAGCCCCTGGAACTGCTAAGAAGGCACATAGTTAGACATTGGAATACAGTTAAATAAATGTGAAGGGAGCATATACAGTGAGAAAAGGAGGGACATGGAGTCTATCTTAAGGCTAGGAGACAAGGCTTCTGCAGTTCCTTTCAATGTTATATCTTGAAACCCAAGAGAAAGGGAAAGAAAAGTTTTAAAATTCATTTTGAAGTTAAGCTGCCTTAACAACATAATGAAGTTTTAATGCAGGGATAGTTTCCAATGTGTCACTAATATGAAACCAGATCTTTGAAAAAGATTGTAGGGGAAAATATTCTACTTCTGCAATTTGGAGGGAATAGACATTTGCATGGGGCAATTGGCTAAATGAATAGACAGTGTCTAGAAGAAGGACAATTAGCAAACAATATATCCTCTGACAATTTTTAGTACCCCAGATAAAAACTAGACATAGAAAGGAGGAAGCAGAAAGATTCATACAGAAAAAAGGAAGACCAGTTTTTTCCCCAATATAAGAAAAACTTAGGCTTCATGGTCATTTGGAGAGACACCATGCTCATTTTCAACATAACTCTATTAAGAATTCTGATTGTCTGAAAGGCTATACATGTATAATGAGACCATGGTCAGTTAGCACGAAACTCAGAGTGGAAAAAAATCAAGACTTTTTACTGAGAAATATCAGAAGTCTGATGAATCCCTGCTAGCATGTACTCTCAGGACAAATATTCAGAGAAGCACACCACTAATTTTGATAGTGTTAGATAAAAGAGTTTATATGAGTTAACAATCGACTTCTCAGTGGCTGCAAATGTTGTGAACCCACTCTTTCAGACAGTAGGACAATTGATTGAGCAAAGAATTAAAAAAAATTCAATTCAGCAGTTACTCAAAGGATTCGCTGGTTCACCATTTCCCCATGAAAAAATGGAACACTTCCATCATGCATTAGGAAGTTTTGGATGCAGTTAACTCTAGGTTGGTTTATGATATTCATAGAGATGAACCTCATTTTGTCATAGCCCAGGACAGATACTTTGACTTGGGAGCTTTCCAATCTTGAAAGCCTTATATGAGCTTTCAAGTGGGTGAAAGGAGAGAAGTCAAGAGGAAATTTTAGAAATAGTACCTGACCTGTTGGTCCAGTTACCAGTCAAGGGGTTTGTCAAGTCTCTCCTGGCAAAGACAGCGTGGGAACACAACTGTTAATTAAAGTTGGGTTTGTTACTTGTTGCCAAGAGGGAGAACACACATCATGGGGGATTGTGGTCCAAAATTTTTCATTCTTTCATCTATATAATTTATCTTCCTCTTTTACCTTAATCATCATGAAATGCAGAGAAATATGCTTTAATTCTATATAGACTTTGTTTTAAATGTTCACTTTACTGCTTGTGTTATCACACGATTTCTCACTCTTTCTGTCTCTTTCTCTCTCTCTCTCTCTGTGTGTGTGTGTGTGTGTGTGTGTGTGTGTGTGTGTGTGTGTGTAGTTCCCTAGTTCCCTAACTCTCTTTCTTCTTTGCTGGCTTCCTACTTCATAATGGGCAAAACGCCTCAGGGTTCAGTCATTAACCTTTGTTACTTTTCTACAGAGTCTGTCCATGATATTTCATCTAATTCCACATTTTAAGGATTGTGTGGTGATTATTCACAAAACTTAACAGACATGCTAGTCCTCTCTTAAGCTCCAAATGACTCCAATGCCTATATGCCATCTTTAGTTGAATTTTAATAGGTCTTCTAAGTGTAAGATTTATTGAAGTAAAGAAAAAAAGGGCAACAACAAACACACCCTATTCAATACATACCTAAAACTTTTTACTCCCCCAGATGCACATCATTGATCCTGTTACCCAGGCCTAAACCTTTGCAGTCATCCTTGATTTCTCTTTCCGTCATGCCTGATATATTGTCACTACTCAACATCCACACCACTGATAACCTGGTCCAAGCCAGCACTTGACTGGCAGTTCTGACTCCACTTAAGACTCACTATACTCACTATAGTTTCTACTCTGCAATGCAGTATGGGTACGTTTTATTTATTTATTTATTTATTGCTGTCATTAAAACTGTGGCGCTCTCTCTCTATATATATATAGATATAGATATATGTACATATGTGTATATGTACACACACCTACCCATTCTCACATATATATGCACATATAATATTTCAATAACTTTGGGGGTACAAGTGGATTTTGATTACACGGATGAATTGTATAGGATGAAGTCTGAGAATTTACTGCACCTGTCACCCAAGTAGTGTACATTGTACCCAACATCTAATTTTTTTTTATCTCTTACCCCTCTCACTCTCCCCCCTTCTGAGTCTCCAGTGTCCATTACACCACTCTACATGCCTTTGCGTACCTTTAGCTTAGCTCCTACTTATAAATGAGAACATACGGTATTTTGTTTTCCATTCCTGAATTACTTCCCTTAGAATAAAGGCCTTCAGTTCTCTCCAAGTTGCTGCAAAAGACATTATTTCATTATTTTATATGGCTAAGCAGTATTCCATGGTGTATATAAGACGTTTTCTTGATGAACTCATCAGCTGATGGGTGCTTAGGTTGGTTTCATATATTTGCAATTGTAAATTGTGCTGCAATAAACATATGTGTGCAGAGGTCTTTTTAATATAATGACTTTTTTTCCTTTGAGTAGATACCCATTAACGGGATTGATGTATTGAACGGTAGATGTACTTTTAATTATTAGAGAATTTCCCTACTGTTTCCTACAGAGGTTGTATTAATTTGGATTCCCATCAACAGTGTATAAGCATTCCCTTTTACCACATCCACAACATCTATTGTTTTTTGACTTTTTAATAATGGTTATCTGGCTGGGATAAGGAGGTATCTCATTGTGGTTTTAATCTGCATCTCCCTGATGATTAATGATGTTAAGCATTTTTTAACATTTGTTGGCCATCTGTGTTTCTTATTTTGTGAAATGTCTATTCATGTCATTTGCCCACTTTTTGATGAGATTTTTTTTCTCTTGCAGATTTGTTGAGGTCCTTATAGATTCTGGATATCAGTTTTCTGTTGGATACACTTGTCAAATAGTTTCTCCAATTCTCTGGGGTGCCTGTTTACTCTGATAATTATTTCTTTTGCTGTGAAGAAGCCTTTTAGTTTAATTACATCCTATTTATTTATTTTTGTTTTGATTGCATTTGCTTTTGGGGTCTTAGTCATAAATTATTTGCCTAGGCTAATGTATAAAATAGTCTTTCCTAGATTTTCTTTTAGAATTTTTATGGTTTCAGGTCTTAGATTTAAATCTTTTATCCATCTGGAGTTGATTTTTGTTTGTGGTGAGAGATATGGATACAGTTTCAGTCTTCTACATGTGGCTATTCAGGTTTTTGAGCACCATATATTGAATACGGTTCTTTTTGCCAATTTGTTTTTGTATGCTTTGTCAAAGATCAGTTGGTTGATAAGAATTTGGCTTTATTTCTGGATTCTCTCTTCTTTTCTATTGGTCTATGTATCTACTTTTATATTAGTACCATGCTGTTTTGGTTACTATACCCTTGCATTATAATTTGAAGTTTGGTGATGTGATGCTTCTAGATTTGTTCTTTTTGCTTAGGATTGCTTTGGCTATTCAGGCTCTTTTTTGGTTCCATATGAATTTCAGGATTGTTTTTTCTAACGCTGTAAAAATGATGTTGGTATATTCTAATAGGAATTGCATTGAATCTGTAGATTTCTTTGGGCAGTGTGGTCATTTTTATGATGTTGGTTCTTCCAATCAATGAGTATAGGATATTTTCCATTTGCTTGTGTCATCTATGATTTATTCCAGTAGTGCTTTGTAGTTTCCCATGTAAAAATCTTTTTACCTCCTTGGTTAAGTTTATTTCCAGGTATTTTATGTTTATTTTTTGCAGCTATCATAAAAGGGATTGAGTTCTTCATTTGATTCTCAGCTTGGTTGGTGGTGGTGTACAGCAGTGCTACTAACTTGTGTTCATTGGTTTTGTAACCTGAGACTTTACTGAATTCATTGATCAAATCTAGGAGTCTTTTGGAGGCATTTTCTAGGTATATGATCATATCATTAACAAACAGAGATAGTTTGACCACCTCTTTTCCAATTTGGATGCCCTTTCTTTCCTTCTCTTGCCTGATTGCTCTGGCCAGGATTTCCAGTACTATGCTGAATAGAAGTGAAAGTGGGCATCCTTGTTTTGTTCCAGTTCTCAGGGGAAATGCTTTCAAATTTTCCCCATTCACTATGATGTTGACTGTGGGTTTGTCATTTATGGGTTTTATTATTTTGAGGTATGTTCCTTCTAGACCTAGTTTCTTGAAGATATTTGCCATAAAGGGATACTGGATTTTATTGAATGCTTTTTCTGTATCTATTGAGATGATCACGTGGTTTTTGTTTTTAATTCTGTTTCAATGGAGGATCACATTTATTGACTTGTGTTATGTTGAACCACCCTGTATCCCTGGGATGAAACTCACTTGAACTTGGTGAACTATCCCCTTGATGTGCTGTTGGACTTGGTTTGCTAGTATTTTGTTGAGGGTATGTATTTGCATCTACGTTCATCAGGGATATTAGTCTGTGGTTTTCTTTTCTTTTTTCTTTCTTTTTTTTTTTGTTATGTCCTTTCCTGGCTTTGATATCAGGGTGATGATGCTGGCTTCATAGAATGAGTTATGGAGGACTCTCTCTTTCTCAATCTTTTGGAACAGTTTCCATAGGTTTAATAGCAATTATTCTTTGAATGTCTTGTAGTATTCGACTGTGAATCTGCCTGGCTCTGGGCTTTTGTGTTCTTGGCAATTTGATTATGGATAATTTTTCAACTGACAAGTAATAATCAAATACAAAAACATATACTTTTAAATGAACAACTGAATAAATTTTACAATATGAGAACCCTTTTATAACCATGGCCAGGTCAAGAAATATTACTCAGACTGCAGAAACTTTCCCAGTTTTATATCCTAATAATGACGCACTCCTCATCCCACGATATAACCACCATCTTGTCTTCTAATACTATAAGCTTAGTTTTGACTGGTTTTAAATTAATTTGAAAAATTATAAAATATGTATCTGTGTTGCATCTTTATCCAGTATTGCTTCCTAAGTGTCACACTTGCCGTACGTAGGTACATTCTGCTCATTTTTCATCATTTCATTATCAGTGAACATTTGGTCTGTTTCCAGTTATTTGCCATCTATTTATAATGCTGCCTTGAACATTGTTGTGATATTTCAGTAAACATAAGCACTCTCAAATACCTATAAATGGAATTATTAATTTTGCATTCATGTGTAATTCATTTTACTAGAAAATACTAAATTACTTTCCAAAGTTGCGCTATTGATTTATAACCCCACAAGCAGCATTCGAGAATCCATTTGCCTCACAATCCAATACTTGTTATTGTCAGGCCTTTAAATAGTATTCATTCTGGGAATCGGTAGTACTATCTCATTTTTCTCTTAATTTGCATTAATCCAATCATGAGTTTCTGTTAATTTGCTTTCAATTTGCAGTAACGTAATTGCTAATAAAATGATGCTCCTTTTCAAATGTTTGTTGGTCATTTGGAGATACTGTTTCACGCCGTGCCTGAAAAATTATCTTGCACATTTTTTCTATTTTGATATTCTTTTACTATTGATTTGCAAAACTTTTTCATATTTTAAGGGAAAAAAGACTCTTTTATGGCTTGCTTTTTGCTCTCATAATGATTTTTGGTAAGAAAAGTTATAATTTTAATGTAGTTCAATTTAGTAATATTTTATGTTTAATGCTGTTCAACTCGTATTTTAAAAATGTAGATTTCTTCCCCCAAATTCACGTTAGTGATTCCCAACAGAATTCTCAATATAAAGGCAGCCCAATATTCAATAGCTTCAAACAACAATATTCATTTTTGCTCAAAAGTCTGCAGGAGGGTTCGTATTGGCAGACTGACTGCTTCTCAGTGCACATCTGTGATTCAGATATGTTGCCTCTTCTCTGGGGTTCAACTCAGTGAAGATAGCTGTCCAAGTGTCTCTCACCCTCCGCCTACGACCAAAGGGCTTGCTGGTGCACATTCTTCACAGTGTGAGAACAGAAGTGAAAAATACATAAATAAATAAATAAGCCACTTTAAACCTCCTAAGCCCTAAGCTTGTAAACAGCACCCTGTCACTTCTGGCTCATTTTAATGACCAAAACAACCCAAATTATCAATCCAAAGTCAGACGGGGACAAGGAGGGGGGATGAAGGTTTTCCATCTTTTCAGGAGGAAAAATAGCAAATCACAAGCCAAAAACTTGAGTTAATAACTGTATCAAATTAGTGAAAATAGTTTCACACTTATTTAACATAATTTAATGGATGAATATTCCACTTAGATGTAAATTTTACTTAATCTTATTTGTATGAATGGACTGCAGCATGTATTAAGTTTTATTTGCTTTTTGTATATGTACATCCCAACTTAACATCTCTATTTATTGAAAAACAACTTTCCTGTTCTGCTCTGAAATGACATTTTTATAAATATTGGTCTACTTTTGGTTCTTATATAATACATGTTTTATTATGTGCTTATACACATGACAAATGCACATTATTTTGTTACTATAGCTTTATATTAAAATTGGTATTTAATAGAGTAAATCCTCCCATAAATTTTTATTCTTTTTCAAGAATGTTTTGGCTCTTATTGGAACAAAGTACTTCATACAAATTTTAGAATCAGATATTCATTTACTACCAAAACTAATTTGATAGAGATTTAACTGTAATTGCATTGAATAAATAGATAAATTTGAAGAAAGCATAAATCTTTACAATGACTAGACTGTAGTTTTGTTGCAAATTTTAGCTAGCCATTTGATATTTTTCATTCAGTTGTACTGTGTCATTTAATTTTATTTTATATTTTTATTTTTTTAGAAACAGGGTCTCACTTTATACCCAGTCTGAAATGCAGTGGCCCTATCGTAGCTCAATGCAGCTTCTAACTCCTGAGTTCAAGCAATCTTCCTGATTCAACCTCATGCCTAGCTGAGACTACAAGCACGTGCCACCATACCTGGCAAATTTTAAATTTTTTTTATAGAGGCAAAGGCCTCACTATATTGCTTAGGCCAGTCTCTAACTCCTGGCTTTATGCCATCCTCCTGCCTCAGCCTCCCAAAGAGTTGGTATTACAGGCATAAGCTATCACATCTGGCCATATTACATTATTCTTAAAGTCATTTTTTATGTCACAGATAATAGGAATTCATTGACTGCAACCAATAGCCTTGAAAATAGTAAACCTAAACCATTAGATCCATTTACATTGAATAACAGTCTTTTTGAAGATTCTTTATGGTTTTCTAAGAATAAATCATATTATATTCTAGGAATATCAGTTCCTTGTTAACTTCTTATACCTTCCATTTCTTTTTCTTTGCCTATTACAGTGGCTAAGCCAATAGGAGCATGTTAAATAGTGGCCAAGTGGTTAATTATCAGTCACAGAGAGAAACCTTTCACCAGCTATGTTGTAAATTATGAATGAATTCAATTTACTTTCCATCTCTAAATACCATAATGTTTTCCCATCCAAGATAAAATCTGAACAGTAATGGGAGCCTGGCTACCTCTAACTACTTCTGCATATATCCCTTGACTATTCCACTTTAATTACATTTGAACATTTGCTGTTTATTTGCTTTTTTATTTAACAAACACGTATAGTGCTTTCTATGGGCTGTGGAAATTTAACACTTTTCTCTAACATGCTATATTGTTCACACCTAGAAATCTAATTGCTGCTCTTTTTCCAGCATTGTATTTTCATTTTGAAACTGCTTCAGATTATTTTGCACAAGAGGTTGCAAAAATAGCACAGAGTTCATGTTTGCCCAAGAGTAATATCTTCCATAATCATAGGACATTGCCAATACTGGGAAAGAGATATGAGTATAATACCATTACCTCAGCTACATAGCTTATTTGGATTACACATTTTGGGAGGAGTAGGATGGATTTGTGGGCTATCAATTTCCATGAAGTTTTATTTCTGAGTATATTTGAATAACCATCACCATAAATAGGATACACAACTGTTATATCCCCGCAGAGAAATTTCCTCATGTAATATCCTCCTTCAAGCCTAAACCGCAGCATCCTCACAAAGAAATCTCCTCATCCCTCCTTCAAACCTAAAGCCTGGCAAACACCTATATATCATTATTGTAATTTTGTGTCTTCAAAAACATAATATAAATACAATAATTCAGCATGTAACCCTTTGAGATTGGGTTTTTTACTCAGGAAAATGTCTTTGGGATTCATACATCCTTTTTGTTACTGAGTAGTAGTCCAGCATATGGCTGTAGCATTCCAACATAATAATATGCTAATCCATTTACCACTAAAGGATATCTGGGTTGTTTCTGTTTTGGATATTATGCAAAAAGCCACTATGAACATTTATCTACTGATTTTTGTATGAATATTTCTCCAGTATTTTTACCTGTTTCTCAGTTTTGTTTCATTTATTCAAGTTTGTAATCAAAGGAGAAGTCCTTAATTGGACATTGCTTGATTTTACTTTCCATATTAACACCCCCACTTCAGTAATTCCATACCATTTTACTGATTTTGAATATTTTTCGTAGTATAAATATGTGTTTGTATATAAGTATACATACACACACACCCTATTTACTCTATATACAATTTTGCAAGACTTCCATTATAAATTAACTCCTTATGGGAACGGACTTGTTTATCTTACTAATCTCTGATATCCTGACACCTAGAGCAACATGTAATATACATTATTACCCTAACTGCTAAATGCTACATGTTAAAAAACAAACTACTTATATTTCTTGTTCTTTTGATCCACATTTCCAACTTACCTTCACATATTCCAGTATTAACCTCCGTTTCCCACTGAGCCCTTGATCTTAGAATCTCATGTTTAATATCAGAATGCTTGCTGTCCTTCAGTGCAGATAGCGAAAGTTACTATAATGCTTCCTTCATATGCAAAGCATATGTCTATTGCATTTCTGTGTAATTCTCAACTTTAATTCTTAAATAAACATCATCAATGCACTTGAGGAGTGACAGTGTTGTCCTCAACTTCTCAACTGTATAATGTAATTTTGGTGAAATGTTTTTCCTGTCAACATGTTAGCTTACCACTGCTTATGCAACCAGCTGTTTTATTTTGAAGAGTGTTATGAATAAATAATAGAAGTAATGTAGAAGTTTAGAAATATATGCATGAAAAAATAAATCATTTCCCTACAATATAAAGCATATTTATAAGACTACAACTTCATATGATGTTATAAAGGGCAGGCAGTAAATAATAGGAGATAGTCTAGATGCATGTACAAATTCATTCATTCTGAAATGGCCATCACTAGTTTTAGTTAAACTGTGGGTATGCTAATTGTGAGCAAAAGTCATAAACACTGAGGTGATGCTGACATCTCAGCTTGTTCATTTTCTCTATGACATTAAGAACAGAATGTTTTGGTTCAGTAGTTTACTTGGACAGAGTATGGTGCTAATAATTCACAGGACAGTTTTTATTTTAACCACTTAAAAATCATACATATTACCTGATAGAGACAGACAAAAAGCTGCATCCTGAGCCATGTATAAATATTTTTACCTTTAAAAATACAAATGCTCCTTGACTTACAATGGGGTTACATCCCAATAAACTTATCTTAAGTTTAAAATATTATAATTCAGACATGTATTTATACAAATAACCTACTGAGCATCATAGCTTAGCTTAGCCTACCTTAAATATGCTCATAATACTAACATTAGCCTACAAAATGTTAAGCTAGATAAGAAAAATTATCTAACATAAAGCTTATTTATAAAGTATTGAAAATCTCATGAAATTTATTTAATATTTTACTGAAAGTGAAAACAGAATGGTTATAGAGGTACTTGTATGGTTTCTACTGAATGTGGTTTTTGCACCATTGTCAGGTAGAAAAATAGTAAGTTGAACTATCATAAGTTGGGACCATCTTCATATAAATTCAATAATTGAAAGTTATCAAACACACACACAATGTAAGAGGGGTATGGTTTTCAAATTCTAAGATGGGAAACGTACAAACTCCCCCTTCTGATTATTTCCTAAGTAATTTATTCTTCTGAAAAATTTACAAAGTATTTTAGAATTTCAAATAGATGTTCTTTCTATAAGTACCTTAAGATCAACAAATCGAAATAGTTATAATTTATGTATTTACGTCATGGGATACTTGGGGTGTTGCTTTGCCAGCCAGAAACCTCTGCGGTCAGTGGCACCTTTGCCTGAGTTTTGCTTGGCCCCGCGGGGCTTGGTCCACCCACTTGGCCTGGCAGGTCGCACTTGGCTTGCGCTACTGGCCTGAATCCAATGCCCACCAAAGGTGAGCCAGGCACAGAGTGGCGAAGGGTGTATGAGCGAGCGCAGGGTCTGGCCACTGCGCACATCCAGGCATGCCTGCTGCAGTGGGGTGGAAGCTCCAGGTGCAGGCATGGGCACCAGCTCCCTGCAAGGTTGCTGCTGGACCAGCCGTACCTCAAACACCTTTCACAGTTGGCACCAGAGAATGCAGTGGCGCCAAAACCTTGGAATCACCAGTAACCACAGAACCCCAAAGAGGGTTTCACAGCCCTGGTGAGAGGTGACAGCGTGCTGGCAGTCCTCACAGCCCTCGCTCGCTCTTGGCGCCTCTTCTGCTTGGGCTCCCACTTTGGCGGCACTTGAGGAGCCCTTCACCCCACCACTGCACTGTGGGAGCCCCTTTCTGGGCTGGCCAAGGCCAGAGCCGGCTCCCTCAGCTTGCAGGGAGGTGTGGAGGTAGAGACGTGAGCGGGAACCGGGGCCGCGCGCGGCGCTTGCGGGCCAGCTGGAGTTCCGGGTGGGCGTGGGCTTGGAGGGCCCCGCACTCGGAGCAGCCGGCGGGAGTAGCCGGCGGGAGCAGCCGGCGGGAGCAGCCGGCCGGCTCTGCCGGCCCGGGGCAATGAGGGGCTTAGCACCCGGGCCAGCGGCTGCGGAGGGTGTACTGGGTCCCCCAGCAGTGCCAGCCCACCAGCGCTGCGCTCGATTTCTCACCAGGTCTTAGCTGCCTTCCCGGGGGGCAGGGCTCGGGACCTGCAGCCAGCCATGCCTGAGCCTCCCACCCCCTCCATGGGCTCCTGTGTGGCCCAAGCCTCCCCAGTGAGAGCAGCCCCCTGCTCCATGGCGCCCAGTCCCATCGACCACCCAAGGTCTGAGGAGTGCGGGTGCCCAGTGTGGGACTGGCAGGCAGCTCCACCTGCAGCCCCGGTGCGGGATCCACTGGGTGAAGCCAGCTAAGCTCCTGAGTCTGGTGGGGCCTTGGAGAACCTTTATGTCTAGCTCCGGGATTGTAAATACACCAATCGGCACTCTGTATCTAGCTCAAGGTTTGTAAACACACCAATCAGCACCCTGCGTCTAGCTCAGGGTTTGTGAATGCACCAATCCACACTCTGTATCTAGCTACTCTGGTGGGGCCTTGGAGAACCTTTGTGTCCACACTCTGTATCTAGCTAATCTTGTGGGGACGTGGAGAACTTTAGTGTCTAGCTCAGGGGTTGTAAACGCACCAATCAGCACTCTGTCAAAACAGACCGCTGGGCTCTACCAATCAGCAGGATGTGGGGGCCAGATAAAAGAATAAAAGCAGGCTGCCCCAGCCAGCAGTGGCAACCCGCTCGGGTCTCCTTCCACCCTGTGGAAGCTTTGTTCTTTCCCTGTTTGCAACAAATCTTGCTACTGCTCACTCTTTGGGTCCACACTGCTTTTATGAGCAGTAACACTCACCGCGAAGGTCTGCAGCTTCACTCCTGAGCCAGCGAGACCACGAACCCACCAGAAGGAAGAAACTCCGAACACATCCGAGCATCAGAAGGAACAAACTCCAGACACACCACCTTAAGAGCTGTAACACTCACCGCGAGGGTCTGCGGTTTCATTCTTGAGGTCAGTGAGACCAAGAACCCACCAATTCCGGAAGCACTGGCTTGGGGATTTCCCAGGTCTGAGCTCCCTGTAGGGCTGCAGCTCTTCTTTCCTTCTCTCTTCTCTC
Organism: Homo sapiens; assembly: GCF_000001405.40. Taxonomy (NCBI): domain Eukaryota; kingdom Metazoa; phylum Chordata; class Mammalia; order Primates; family Hominidae; genus Homo; species Homo sapiens. The sequence continues at coordinate 26,325,674 of NC_000005.10, forward strand.
CTTCTTGTCACCCACAACGTGGCAAGCAAGGGGCATGTTTCAGCCCTGTTTGTGTCTCATTTCTCTTAACCCTGCCAGTAGGCAGTGCCGGAGTTCTTGTCCTGCACCCAGGAAGAATGAAGTACGCAGACAAGTGGAGGGTGAGCAAGGCAATGAGGAGTTTTATTGAGCAGCTCAGAGGAGACCCACAATGCATAGCTCCTCTTTGCTGTCAGGGTGACCCAAAGAATGTTCAACTCTGAGCAAAGAAGAGACCCTGGAGTGGGTGGTTCATCTCCACAGCTTGCCATCCTGTCATGTCCTCAAGTATGGCTCAGTTCAGGGCTTTTATGGACCTCAGAGGGGAGGAAGTGCATGCCGATTGGTCCATGGGTGGCCATGGTGGGCCCTGAAAAAACCCCACAAGTCCCCATTCTAGTCCGCAGGACCCGCAGCCTGCCCTGGGATTCAAGTCCTCCCAGCTTGAAGGTGGAGCTTTATTAGGGACACGTCCCCTTCCACCTAGGAGCCTGTCTGTCTCTTGCCGCTGTTCATGGAGCCCAGGCTGTTTACGTGAAGCGGCACCTGCAGTACAGCACTGAGCTGCCCTTCACCTCCCCTCAGCTTCCCTCACATGCTCATCAGCACCCAAAGTCCGGCGGGGGCGACATAGCGGGGAGCTTGCGTGTCAGCGCTACCCCAAACATGTGTACACCCGGCCAGGCTGTGAAAACACCTGGATTCAGGACCAACCTCCCTTCAAGATTGGTGCCAGGAGCTGGAAGAAGTCAGGCAATGGGAGCAGACATCTCTGAGCCTGAAAGTGGGGCAGGGTACAGAGATGCCCGGGTCCGCAGCCGTGGCTCTATAGCTGTACCCAGGAGGGTGAGGCTACCGCTTGATATCAGCTCCCGCCCGCTCCATGGAGCATGCAGCCCAGCCACACCTACCCCACTGCAGCTGGTGTCTTGGCAGCAGCCACTGCTCATTGCTGCCATCATTTACATTATAGCAAATCACTTAATAAACATTTACTAAGTGGTATCTATATGCTAAACATTATCCTTTGTTGTTGTAGATTTATCAGAACAGATATTATCCTTAAAAACTTAACATGTATAGGCCAAGCGCGGCGGCTCACGCCTGTAATCCCAGCACTTTGGGAGGCTGAGGCAGGCGGATCACAAGGTCATGAGATTGAGACCATCATGTCTAATACGGTGAAACCCCGTCTCTACTAAAAATACAAAAAATTAGTCGGGTGTGGTGGCAGGTGCCTGTAGTCCAGCTACTCAGGAGGCTGAGGCAGGAGAATGGCGTGAACCAGGGAGGTGGAGCTAGCAGTGAGCCGAGATCATGCCACTGCACTCCAGCCTGGGCGACATAGCGAGACTTGGTCTCCAAAAAAAAAAAAAGAGAAAAAAAAGAAGAAAACCTTACATGTATATACACAATTCACATTCACATGCATTGGTACACACATGCACGTGCTCGTGCACACGCACGCACACAATGTAGAGGAGTCAAAAGAGAATGAGAAGAAAATTCCACCGTAAAAAAATGTGAAAATAATCCGAGAATGAAAACTGATAATGTCTATTGAATTTAGCAACATGAAAGTCAATGATAACCTTAGGGATAAAAATGTAGGTTTATTGATGTGTTGTAAGTGTTATGAAAGGAAGATCATGAGTATAGAACTTAAGAGGAAAGAAATGGGCTAGTAACAGGAGAAAAAAGTGTGAGATATAAACAGACACTGTTATTGTGTTTGTATGTTTTCATATGTTTTGCTTTTTATTTTATCAGGAAAGACTAGAGTACACTTCAATATGTGGATGTAGTTAAATTGTAAAAATAAGGCACTGAAAATACATTTGAGATAGGATACGATATGTGCCTGGCTCCATATTCTCTCTCTTTCTCTCTCCTCCTTTTTTTTTCTTTTTTAAAATTTGAGACAGAATGTTACTCTGGAATAAGTGGAGTGCAGGCTGGAGTGCAGTGGTGTGAACACAGTTCACTCCAGCATTGACCTCCCATGTTCAAATGATCCTCCCATCTCGGCCTCCCAAGTAGCTGAAACCATAGCTGTATGCTGCCACTCCTGCCTAATTTATTTTTTACTTTTGTAGAGATGGGGTATTGCTATGTTGCCCAGGCTTGTCTTGAACTTCTGTGCTCCAGTGACCAGCCTCAGCCATAACATCTTTTCCTAATGAAATCCATGGTCTCCCACTTAATTAGTGCATTGAGGAAAAAGCTTACAAAATTATTTGTTTTCGCAGAGAAGTTCCTCCTCCATTCTTCATTCTACTCTCAATTGTCATAATGGAATTTACTGTAAGTAAGAAATACTAGATTATTGTGAACAGAAATAACCCACTTCAAATTTCCTATTTTGTAAAGGCAATAAGATAAAAATATAGAATTCACTAATGCTAACTTAATTATTGATTGATGAATTGCATCCATGTATGTTACGATCTAAATGTTGAGAACTGTGAAAAAGAACGAAGATTTCTAAAGAATAAACTTCTGATGTGAGATAGTGAAGGTATCAGAGGAAAATGAAATATGACATCATGAAGCAAAGACAAATTATTCCTGGAAACTAGCAAAATAAGATATGCCGTAGCCCTGAAAGTAAATAGCTGAATCTCTGATCTTGGAAGTAAAAGAAAGAGGCAATGCTTAAAATTTGATTATTGACTTATACTCAGATTACCTAATTTAATGGGACTGAATCCTTAATTGATTATGCTATTTCAGTACCTACTCTAAATGATAAAACTCTTCACCTTCCCTCACTTTATACTCAGTTTATTATGTTATTAAATTATTCAACATATTTACTAGGTATCTAACTTGTATTACTCTGCAAAGGCCTACAGATAATAAATATGGTTCCCTTTGTGAGGGCATTTAATACTTGGCAAGAAACATGCATATATGCTATAAGCTGCAATAAAACTTGCTACGTGTTATTGCAGATCTTACTTACATAAATGTGCATGGGAACAAAGAGAACCGGCAATTATATACCTAGGGAGTTGGGGGATGATTTATTGAGAAGGTGGCATGTAGAGGTTTCCTGAGAAGTAAGTAAGAAAATCTTCACGTCCATTAAGAATGAGGGAGATTGATTTTTCTAGGGAGAAGAAGTAGTTAATTCAATAGCATGGAACACGAATTGGGCAAGGAGAAGCAAGGATGATAAGTCATCTTCTGTTGTGCATTTTAAGTGCTCACTAGAGGAATTGGCATGTAACATAATAAACTATCACATGGTAAAAACATGCATAATATGCTCAAATCACTCATATATTTATGTTCTCAAGTAGAATATGCGTTTCTAAATTGTGCCCCTTTTTATTGTGGGAATCATCCATTATGTATCAATAGTGTCATTAGTGCTTCCTTCTAAGGATATTTTAACCATCATATTATAGCTAGTCTACTAAAGAGGCCAGAGCATTCTCACGAGTCTTGTAAGTTTTTAAGAGAAATAAATAAATTGAGCCTGAACAATGAATCTAAAAATGAAATATGTTCCTGCTAGAAATGGATAACTTCATATCATCATTCATCTGTTCATTATTTCATATTTATTCCTTTTATTTAGTCATGTCTTCAGTGCATGATTTTTTTTTAAAGTTTTCTATCTGCCAATGTATTATGCTACAGTCTGTGAATAAAACAATTAACGAAACAGACTTAGTCCCTACCTCACAAGGTTTATATTTGAAAGGAGGTAGTGAATATGCATTCAGTCAACCTTGACAAAATTAATTATTCAATTAAAATTGTGTTGAATGCTACAAAGGAGAAGTGCATGTTGTTTTAGGAAAGCATAAGTGGAACTAAACTTGCTAAACAGTCAGGGAATTTTTTTTCCCTCAGGAAGATAAAACAGAGATTGGAATTACTGTGAGAGAATACAGTTCCTTCTGCAGCTGATGTTATTAATATTATTTCAAATTAATTATCGGAGCATTTTATCTTCCATATGCCTGATCGCTATTCACTTTAGCTATGTTTAGTCATCAATTTCCAACACTTTAAAAAGTAACTGTAGTCGTAGTTTGAGATTCACTACCACTCCCTCCTCTTGCCTGACATCTAGTGGAAGAGAGAATCAGTGGGAAAATCACCCAGAGGAATTAAAAATAGAGACCAAGCAGTAAAGAAAAATAGCAAAGGAAATATCCTCTTGAATCACTATATTTTAAGAATGGGTGATAGTATACACATTTCATTGTTATACAACTATTATATGTGCTTGAACTATATATTCAATCCTAATTTTAATATATTTTTCTATAAAATTCCCGAGTAATTGGCTAACAATACTATTCACTGATATTGCATCACTGGCAGAAAAGTAGCTTTCTCCTCATTAAGGCTTTCTTCTTTCACTAATCTTGAAACATAAGATGCATATATGCAGAATATGCACTCAAATTAGCTCATTCCAGCTTTCCCTAGAATGTGAGTACACTCTTTAATGATGTTTAAATTTTCTATAAAGTCCAATTTTCAAACTCATACAAATGAGAGTAAATTAGTACATGGGTTTCCAGGTTATGAAGACAGCACTTTGATTCAAACACTAACCAATACACATGCCTTTTACATCACATTACACAACATATCATTGTAGATAAAGTAAAGTAGTAATTGTGAATAGCCTTAAATAATATACTAAAAATTGCTCAGTTCAGTTAAGATTTAATTCCAGGAAAACAGAAGTAGTAGATGACTTTCATAGTTTAATTACCAATAGCTCTATTTGCTCTGAACAGTCCATTATTTTGTGTGTGTGCATTTGTGTGTGCATGTGTGTGTGTTTGTGTCTGTGTGTGAGCATGATGGTGTATCTTTTATATAGTTTTCAAGTTTCTCTCGTAAAACTAATACTATAAGAGGTTATTTCATTTTTCTACACAATGAGGTAAAAATAAAACTCAAAAAGATTGAGATATGAATATATGATTATCTTCCTTAGGCAGGCTCACAGTGATTAGTAAAATAGCAAATATATTTCCTTTGGGAAGTTTAAAAGTACATCTTTAATCTCCTTTCCACTTTATATTTTATTTTCTCTGACTTCAGTTCTTTAGAAAATTTTCCTCCTTTTGCCTTTTTTGAAGGTATGTTTTATTGTTTTCTACTGTTTGTGTTTATTTTGACATTTTTAATGTTATTGTTTGTTGCTTTTTGAAAAAGAAACTCTAAAAATGTTCTGAATGGCACTGTGTAATGATCACAAGAAAACTGTAGTAAAATTCATATTTCAACAAGGATAATGGGTCAAGTAGGTTATGGTATATTAAGAGATTTTCTATAAATGGTAATTTTGTTTAACTTAAAAAGAAAGCATTTTTACAAACCAATGAAATATCTGAAAAGAAGCATAAAGATAATAAAACTGGTAGTATAAGAAAAAGAAATGAAAAAAGAGAGTTGAGGGTTATTGAAAACAAATTTAATTGCCAATTATAACAGTAGACTATATCTTTAGGCTAAATAAGCAAATCCATTATGGAATATAATATAAAAGCAGATATAATTCTAACATTGTAGATATCTAACATGCAATCAAAATTTGATTACCCCAATAGGGAATAATAATAACTAATTGTCATCAACACAGAGGAAATTAGCAAATTGTGATCAAATGCCTGTGAACCCATATGTTACTTAGGGGAAAAGAAAATGATCGAGCCGTTGGAAAATGAATATACTTTAAAAAATACCCTTTAACTTAAAAAAAATAGGTATTGAAAAATTGAGCTAAAAGCAGAATTCTTTTAGTCTTTTGGAAACCTAGAGGCATATGATAATTTTTAGAAAGTAATTTAAGTTATTGAATACTTTTCAAAAAATAATAGTTTCCAAATTGCACACATGAGCTACTTTGAGGGTCCTGATCCTGTTTATAGCCAAAACATAGAACTATAGTATATCAGAAGTTGAAACAGCTTTTGAACATGTAATGGAGCTTTTCAAGAATGTGCTACATTGATGATTATTCCATGACAAAAAATAATTTATTAATTCAAATACTCATGTATTATACATTTGCCATAGAAAGCCGTGCTTACATGTGAATAATATAATCTTGATCCCATGTGAAGCCATGCAAAAGTTTTCTTGAATATCATTTCAATATAAAAAGTCCTAAGCTCTCTCCTAAAATGAGAAAACAGGTAACCTAGCCTCGACTGGTCTGACATTTAGCAAAGAAAGCACAAAGCACACACATTTTAGGCAATGTTTGTGGAATGCTGGAACAGAAACACATCCAGGTGAAATTGAAGAGAAACGATGGAAAATTCTTGAAGATATAGAGTGGTAAAGGAAATTTGTCGCTATACCCCTCCAAAGGTGTTTCCTCTAACATCTTATACACAGCATCATTTACATATGAATCTCTGGATCAGGCCTCATACAGGCAGAGGAGGAGCATGGCAGTTTCAGAAGAATCGCTCTGGTCAATGTCCCATGTTCGGGTCTAAGCTGCTTAGATGCAATTGCATGCTCTTATGACTTATCATCATGACTCTGAGATCCATCCAGGTCATGCACAAAATCACTAAAAACCTTCAATTTAATATATATAATAGTGTTACCTTTGATTTTTTTTTTTAAACAGTCTCGCTTTGTCGCCCAGTGCGGAGTGCAGTGGCGTGATCTCAGCTCTGCAACATCCACCTCCTGGGTTCATGCAAATCTTCTGCCTCAGCCTCCCTGGTAGCTGGGATTACAGGCGTGTGCTACCACACCCAGCTAATTTTTGTATTTTTTGTAGAGATGGGTTTCACCATGTCGTCCAGGCTGGTCTCGAACCCCTGACCTTAAGTAATCCACCTGGCTCAGCCTCACAAAGTACTGGGATTACAGGCATGAGCCACCGAACCCAGCCCTGAAATGTGTTTGTTACTTCATTCATTCATTATCTATTATCAATTCACCACCGCACATTGAAAATATTTTAAATTATTCATCATTTTTAAAAGGGCAAATAAACAAACCTGTCTTTCATGTTATAAACTCTAAGTGCTTTTTAATTGCCTAACAGGATAATGGCCACTCTCTAGAGTATATTAATAAATCACAATTAGAATTGCATGGTGGATAATATCATAATTGATCATTCCGTTTTGCACAACACCACTTCTTGGAAAAATGGAACTTTTTAGAAACTAACATTAATGCTTAGTTCAAATATCAAAAATAGAATACTAGAAGACTTTTCGTTAGAAAAAGTAACTTATTCACATATATTTGATCCTCAACTATACATGTGCTAAATGTATCTGTGTGTGCGTGTGTGTGTGTGTGTGTGTGTGTGTATATATATATATATACATATATATATATATATATATATATATATAGTTTGTTTGTTTGTTTGTTTTTGAGACGAAATCTCACTCTGTTACCCAGGCTGGAGTGCAATGGTGCGATCTTAGCTCACTGCAACATCCACCTCCTGGTTCAAGCTATTCTTGTGCCTCAGCCTCCTAAGGAGCTGGGATTACAGGTGCATGCCACCACGCCAGGCTAATTTTTGTATTGTTAGTAGAGATGGGGTTTCACCATGTTGGCCAGGCTGCTCTGGAACTCCTGACCTCAGGAGATCCACCCACCTCTGCCCCCCAAAGTGCTGTGATTACAGGTGTGAGCCACAGTTCCCAGCCATCCTAATACATTTTTAAAGAATAATAATAAGACAATGGGGTTTTCTAGATATACAATCATGTCAACCCAAATGTCCAACAATGACAGACTGGATTAAGAAAATGTGGCACATATACACCATGGAATATTATGCAGCCATAAAAAATGATGAGTTCATGTCGTTTGTAGGGACATGGATGAAATTGGAAATCATCATTCTCAGTAAACTATCGCAAGAACAAAAAACCAAACACCGAATATTCTCACTCATAGGTGGGAATTGAACAATGAGATCACATGGACACAGGAAGGGGAATATCACACTCTGGGGACTGTGGGGTGGGGGGAGGGGGGAGGGGGGAGGGATAGCATTGGGAGATATACCTAATGCTAGATGACGAGTTAGTGGGTGCAGCACACCAGCATGGCACATGTATACATATGTAACTAACCTGCACAATGTGCACATGTACCCTAAAACATAAAGTATAATAAAAAAAAGAATAATAATAAATGGTGAAAAGGAGTTTCAGATTGATTTTACAGATAAACTTAATTATAAATAATAAGAAAAAAATAATCATTGCTTTTAGGAGAGTTATGCCCTGTTATGGTTTTGAATATCTCTAAGATCATTTGCACCTTTTATTAACTGCTTATTAGAATAATAAAGACAACTCTTAGGAGCCAAAAGTCATTAGAGCATAAGGTACACACAGACAAGCACATACGAAAACATACATATTATCTATATTAGAAAAAGCTTATGACTCCAATATTATAACCAGTCTTTCTATGAATCTGTTCTCCTCTTCTCACTTTTAAGCAATTGGCTTTTGAAATGGGATACATGGGCCTATAAAGGAATTGATCTTGTTTTTATTTTGTATCTTATAAACTATTTTTCATAAAATCATCTCATAGTATCCTAACACAATCACTGTCAAATTCTGTGTTGAAAACATTGCAGATTATTTAACATTTACGCACATGTATGAGAATGAGAGAGAGAGAAAGAAGGTGACAGAGGAAAGTGTGTGTGCAGGTGCATGGGAATACAAGTGTTGAAGTAAGTTTCATGCCTGAGAATCAAATTAAAAAAATGCTAAGTGTGGGAGGGCAATTTCCCTACTGGGTTTGTGAGTGTATGTGTGTGTGTGTTTGTGAGTGTATGTTTGTCAGGAGAAGCAAATTGCAGAACATTCTAAATCCAAAGTAAGTACACCAGAAAACCATCAATGCCAGAAAAGTTTTTGTGAATAATAGGTCAATCTCTGCTGCTGGGATGATGTGAAATCACTTTGTTAAGTATCACAGAAAATTTCAAAAGTGTTTTATGGAATTCCCTAATTTATTTTATTCTGTAAAAATATTAGAATTGTTTATGATTGACTGCTTCAAAATTAGTTCCTCAAAATTGGTTAGATCATATATGTGATCTTGGTATAATCAGGATTTCTGTTCCCATAAAAGACTTCCAATTGACGTTCTTATTTTTCATCCCTCCATTGGCAACACTGGGCTAATCCCTAACCAATTAAGCTACACTTTCTACTTTCTGTCTCTGCTTGCAGGCTGCTCTCAATGTTTTGCAGTGCTTAGCAAAATACGATTAGCCCTATTGCATATTTATTGCTTCTGGGATGATCCTGTCCCATCTATCAATAATATTTTCTTCTGTTCCTTGTAGTGCCAACTCTACAGCTGTTTTATGTTTCCATATATCTGTAGAAATTGTATTTACAGGTTGAGAATTTTGAGGTTACCTTACGATTTTCCTTCAACTGTTCTTCTCACCTGCAGAAAACCTGTATTTTTTTTAACCTCCATTTAGTCTCTCTTCTTTTCACTCACATTTCCTTCCAGCTTTCATAAATATCTTTTTTGACCAATTATTTTTTTGCCACCTTGCCTCTGATCCATCAAATTTTCTCTGCAGTGACTCCATCTCTCCCTCACTCAAATGTGTTTAACATAATTTTATTTCTGGTGACATTTCTAGTTAGCATTCCTTCTTCTTGCCAATGAACCATAGTAATGAAGCAAAAGTATGAATTCAAGTTAACCACTTGCACAAACACACACTCTCTTTGGAATGCGTCTTATTGTCTATAACTATATTTAAATTGTTGTTTCAAATGTTCCTATTATCCCAGTACGTGAAAAACCTAAATGACACCATCACCCATTCATTGATTCAGTAAACATTTGTTAAGAGTACCATAGATCAAGAACTATTTCTAGTACTGGCAAAAGAGAACAAGAGATTGGTTACCAAACTTAGAAGGCTTCTGTTCAAATGAGGTGCATAGGGGCTAAACAGATACAAAGATAAATTGATCTACAAGGTCACAATAAACTATTAAAAATCAAAGTTTGGTGAGGAAATAGAGCAATGTATGTGCTGTTGTAGACAGAAAGATCAGCAAGGCCCCTCTCTCATGGCAACTTTTTAGCCCAAATTTGAGGAGAGGGGATTTAGAGGGGAGGGGAAGACGAAGCATCTAAAGCACAAGCAAGCTTGGTTGGCTCCAGGAACTTAAGGAGTATCCAAGGCAATATATTAGGAAAGAGGGTTAGGCAATTGGGCAACATTGCATAGTCTCAAAGTAAGAAGAGACCAAAGGTAGAATTTTGAATTATAATTCTACTGATATGAGAAGTCATTTATATGTTAAGCACGGAAAAGTAATAATCTGACATAAATTATAAAAAGATACCTGTGGGTGTTGTGTGAAAAATAAACAAGTGAAGAAAAGGGGGCAAAATCTCCTTGCAGTATTGAAAGTTCTTGGTCAGGTGGCCTTGGGGATTTCTCTTTCCCCTTGGCTTCCAGGGCATGGTACTATGCTGCTCTTCTGTCTCCCTATTAGTTTACTTACAAAATTACTTACCTTCTTTCTGTTTTTTTTTTTTTAAGTGTCAGAGCTTTCTCTTTATTGCTTAATCAAAGTATATTCCTATTTTTTCTGGAATCAATTCTCTGCCAGTACTTTAGAAATTACTTAGTGCATACTTCATTTATATACTAGAACATTTATATTAAAGAATGCGTAACTCATTGTAAGCCCAAGAGAACCAATAAAATTTTATTGGTTTTCAGGTAGAATCTCTCTCTCTCTCTCTGTCTCATACACATGTGTATGAGAGAGAGAGGCAGAATTTGTGTATATGTATAAGTATATAATTTTTAGTTGGCTTGGCATTTCCAGGGGAAATAAACACCGCTCTTGCAAAAGTGCAGTAGGAAAAACCTACCAACTCTAAGAGAGATCTACAATTTTGCTTGTGTGAGAATAAGTGCAAAATCTTCGGAAGAAACATCAAAAAGACAAATATTTAATAATTCAAGATCTGAGTGTGGTGGCTTACACCTGTAATCCCAGCATTTTTCATGTTGGGAAGCCAAATCACGAGGATCACTTGAGCCCAGAAGTTTGAAACCAGCCTGGACATTATAGTGAGACCTCGTTTCTGCTAGAAATTAAAAAAAAAAATCCAGGTATGGTGACACACACCTGTAGTCCCAACTACTTGGGAGGCTGAAGTGGGAGGATAGCTTGAGTCCAGGTGGTTGAGCCTGCAGTGAGCTGAGATAGTGCCACTGAACTCCAGTCTAGGTGACAAAGGGAGACCTGTCTCAAAAAAAAAAAAAAAAAAAAGGTTATTCAGAAGTTGTACTAGATCAGAATATGGAACCTAATCTCAGGGCAAGGAGAATAGTTGTCCAGTATAATAAGATAGGAAGTACTCAGGACATATTTCTAACCATATCTTGCTCAATACTGTGAGCCCTAAATAAGTATTTTTATTAATTTAAATATTACATATTTTTATCTTAGGTAATAATAATAATTGTTTATATTTATGAAGTACAATATGATATTTTGAGCTATGTATACATTATAGAGAAAATTCAATTAAACTAATGAACATATCCATCCCCGCACCAACTTGTCATTTTTTTTGGTGAGAATGTTAAAAATATATTATTTCAGCAATTTTGAAATATACAATTTACTAAGAATATTTGAAAATTACTATGAATTGTAGTCACCATGCAGTGCAATAGATTACTGAAATGTATTCCTACAGTCTAACTGAAACTTTGTAGCCTGTGATCAACATTTTCTCTTTCCCTATCCCTCTTACTCTCAGACAGCCTCTGGAAATGACTTTTCTACTCTGTTTCTATGAGACTGACTTTTTTAGATACCACATATAAGTGAGATTATACATATTTGTCTTTCTGTGCCTGGCTTGTTTCACTTAGCATAATATTGTATTAGTCCGTACTCACACTGCTACAAAGAACTACCTGAAACCGGGTAATTTATGAAGAAAGAAGTTTAATTGACTCACAGTTACACAGGCTGTACAGGAAGCATGGGGGGGCATCAGAAAACACACTCATGGAAAAAAGCAAGGGGAATCAAGTATCTCTTACCATGGCAGAGCAGGAGAGAGAGCAAAGGCGGAGGTGTCACACATTTTTAAACCATCAGATATCATGAGAACTCACTCAATTTCATGAGAGCAGCAAGTGGAAAATCCGCCATCATGATCCAATCACCTTCATCAGGCCCTCTTCCAACATTGATAATTATTATTCAACGTAAAATTTGAGTGGGGACATAGAGCCAAAGCATATCATTCCACCCCTCGCCCATTCCAAATTTCATTTCTTTCCACATTCTAAAACCAGTCATGCGTTTCCAACAGTCCCCTAATATATTAACTCATTTCAGCATTAACTCAAAAGTCCGAGTCCAAAGTCTCATCTGAGAAAATGCAATTCCCTCCCACCTATGAGGCTGTAAAATAATCAAACAACTTAGTTACTTCCAAGATACAAAGGGGGTACAGAAATTGGGTAAATACTGTCATTACAAAAGGGAGAAATCAGCCAAAACAAAGAGACTACAGGCCCCCAGCAAGTCCAAAACTCAGCAGGGGAGTCTATAAATCTTAAAGCTCCAAAATGATCTCCTTTGACTTCATGTCTCACATGCAGGCCACAATGACACAGGGGCTGGGCTCCCAAGGCCTTGGGCAGCTCCACTACTGTGGCTCTGCAGGGTCCAGTCAGCATAGGCTGCTTTCACAGGCTGACATTGAGTGCCTGTGGCTTTTCAAAACACACAGTGTAAGCTGTCTTTGGATCTACCATTTGGGGTTATGGAGGACAGTGGCCCTCTTCTCACAACTCCACTAGGCAGTGCCCCAGTGGGGACTCTGTGTGGGGGCTCCCACATTTCCTCTCTGCACTGCCCTAGTAGAGGCTCTCTATGAGGGCTCCATCCTGCAACAGACTTTACCCTGGACATCCAGATGTTTCCATACATCCTCTGAAATGTAGGTGGAGATTCCCAAATCTCAACTCTTGCCTTCTGTGCACCTGCAGGCCTAATACTGCAAAGAAGCCACCAAAGCTTGGGGCTTGCACCCTCTGAAGCAACATCCCTAACCATATCTTATCCCATTTTAGCCATGGCTAGAGCTGGAGCAGCTGGGACACAGCGTGCCAAGTCTTGAGGCTACACAGAGCAGTAGGGCCCTGGGCCTGTCCTACAAAACCATTTTTCCATTCTTGGCCTCCAGGCCTGTGATGGGAGGGGCTGTCATGAAGCTTTCTGACACAACTTGGAGACATTTTCCCCACTGTCTTGGTGATTTTCATTTGGCTCCTCTTTGCTTATGCAAATTTTTGCAGCAGGCTTGAATTTCTCCCGATAAAATGGGTTTTCCTTTTTCACCACCTGGTCAGGCTGCAAGTGTTTCGAACTTTTATTCTCTGCTTTCCTTTTAAACATAAGTAAGTTCCAATTTCAGATTGTCTCTTTGTGAATGCATGACTGTACACTGTTAGAAACAGCCTGGTCACCTCTTGAATGCTTTGCTGCTTAGAAATGTTTTCTGTCAGATACCCTAAATCATCTCCCTGAAGCTCAAAGTTCCAAAGATCTCCAGGACAGGGGCAAAATACTGCCAGTGTCTTTGCTAAAGCATAGCAAGAGTGACCTTTATTCCAGCTCCCAGTAAGTTCCTCATCTCCATCCGAGACCACCTCAGCCTGGACTTCATTGTCCATATCACAACCATCAACCAAGTCTATAGGAAGTTCCAAAGTTTCTCACATCTTCCTGTCTTCTTCTGAGCCCTCCAGACTGTTCCATCCTGTGCCCATTACCCAGTCCCAAAGCTGCTTCCACATTCTCAGGTATCTTTATATCAGTACCTCACTCTCAGTACCAATTTCTGTATTAGTCTGTTCTCATACTGCTATAAAGAACTACTTGAGACCGGGTACATTATGAAGAAAAGAAGTTTAGTTGACCCACAGTTCCACAGGCTGTACAGGAAGCATGGCTAGGAGGCCACAGGCTGTACAGTCATGGCAGAAGATGAAGGGAAAGCAAGCATGTCTTACCATGGCAAAGCTGGAAAGAGAGAATGAAAGAGGAAGTGAAACACACTTTTAAACCATCAGATCTCATGAGAACTCACTCACTATTATGAAAACAGCAAGAGGAAAATCTGCCCCCATGATCCAATTACCTCCCACCAGGACCCTTCCCCAACACTTGGGGATTACAATTTGATATGAGATTTGGGTGGGAACACAGAGGCAAACTATATCAGATGTCCTCCAGTTTTATCCATGTTGTCATACATGAATGAATAAAATTGGTCTATAGACACAATGAAATACTATACAATCTTTAAAAAAGAAAATTCTGGATATATATTTTTAAGGTGTATTTATAAATAAATGTTTTAAATATCATTGAATATTAAGGGTTAAATGTTTAATAAATATTAATGAAAGTTACCATAAAACTCAGATCAGAAAACTAAAAAGCCTTGCAGAAAGCTTTACAATAATTATTTATTGAAGAATAACTTAAAAATTATATTTTTGTGGAAACTGCTTTTAAGTTAAAAATTGAGAGACTACATTACTTCACATTATGAGCCATCTGAGAGGAAGGTATGAATCTGATTTTTATGTTTTAACTACCTCATAATATGCCATAACATGTAGCCTAGTGATGGGTATTAAATATTTTCTTCAGTTTTGATTTCTCTTATGCAAACAATGTTGGAATTAACCTTTTGAGGTACATACCTTTTCTGCATGTAATCAACACTTTAGTAGACAAAGAATGGCAGAATACCTAAGATTGCCGTTTATAAAAATCCAAACAAATACCAACTTTTTATTTTGACTTTTTTAATTTAAACATGCAATCTTTTTTCAGTTTGGTTTGTTAAAAAAAAAAAGGATTCTATGTTTTTTCTAGTATTTTACATTGTCACAATATTTAACTAAGATTGACTGTAGAAATCATGAGCTGAATTAGTTCACACATCTTAATTCTTTGTCCCCTCAAACAAGCAATTAATACTATCATTGTTAATAAGCACATTCACCTTAACATTATTAAATTCAATGGCCTAATTGGCCCTCAAACTAAGCCTTTACATAGACTCTATCTGTTGTGAGTTGATGGTCGCTCCCTTTGCCCTCCCCACTGCTTTGGGCTGCCTAAAGAGAGAAATAGGTCATAGAAAATAAAAGAGCTCTTCAGAAACATTCCATCTCCAAACTCTCCTTCCTTACCTTTCTATGATGTAAAATAAGGGTGCTTTTTCCTTCTCCCATGAAGTATTCATAGCCCCAGATCTGTTCGTCCTATTTATGAGAAGTCCACTTACCATTTTGGCTGGAGGTCTGAGAAATCTTTATGTTGAAAGAAATGCATAAATTTTAAATGACTGATAAAACATATAAAAGAGAAGCTGTATAAAGAATAGAAATAGAATGTTGTATTAGTCCATTTTCACATTGCTGATAAAGACCTACCTGAGACTGGACAATTTGCAAAAGAAAGAGGTTGAATGGACTTACAGTTCCACATGGCTGGGGAAACCTCATAATCATGGTGGAAGGCAAGGAGAAGCAAGGCACATCTCACATGGATGGTAGCAGGCAAAGAGAGTGAGAATTGTGCAGGGAAACTTCCATTTTTAAAACCGTCAGATCTCGTGAGACTCATTCACTGTCATGAGAACAGCATGAAAAAAACCTGCCCCCATGATTCAATTTCCTCCCACTGTGTCACTCCCACAGCACATGGGAATTCAAGATGAGATTTTTGTGGGGATACAGCCAAACCATATCAAATGTGAACCTCCCAAATTAAGGCAGGAGGAAATGACATAAGTGCTAAGAATCCTATTTAAGGGATAAATACAATGAAGAACATGTGTAATTAGAAAACATATCCTATGACAAGCCAACTTCAATTGCTGAATAAAAACAATAAAGAACAAAAAAGTGAGAAAAATACATATTAAATGATAACATGCAGTCACATAATCACAAAACCAACCTATAGAACAGAAGCATCTCTCATAAACGTCGTGGCATCTAGAATGAAAATTAAGAAAACTTTATTTTATGTTTGAGGGGTGGGGGAGAAAAACGTCCATATTCTAATCAGCAGAACCTGTGAATTGTCTTTCACGGCAAATGAGACTTTGCTGATATGATTATATTAAGGATTTTGAGATGAGGATATTATCACAGTTATGCAGGTGGACCCAATGTAATCACAAGGGTCTTTACAGGAGTGAAGCAAGAACATCAAAGTCAGTGTTAGAAGATGTGACATCGGAAGCAAGAGGTTGAAGTGCTGTAAGGAACGGGCCACAAGCCAAGGAATATAGGCAGCTTCTAGAGAAGTTGAAGAAAAAACAGGAAATAAATTCTCTGCTCCAGACTTCAGAAGGAATGCAGCTCTGCCAACAACTTGATGTTAGACTTCTGTCCTCCAGAATTATATGAGAATAAATTTACTTTCTTTTAAGCTTACTTTGTGTTAATTTGTTACACAAGCAATAGAAAATTAGTATATATGTATATACCTATGATATATACATGACTCATTACATAGATCTACACACATACATATTGCAAGAGCTGTTTTGCAATATTGCAGTTATCTTGTTTATGTGACATATACTTATATAATTAGTAAAACAGTAGCAATTATGTTAACAATGGATAACTAAACTTAAAATTATAAAGGAGCTAAAAGTTTTACCACTTTATTTATTTATTTGTTTATTTAATTATTTGAAATAGAATCTGTTGCTCTGTCTCCCAGGTTGGAGTGCAGTGGTGTGATCTCGGCTCACTGCAACCTCCATCTCCTAGATTCAAGCGATTCTCCTGCCTCAGCCTCCTGAGCATCTGGGACTACAGGCAAATGCAGCCATGCTCAGCTAATATTTGTATTTTTAGTAAGGACGGGTTTTCACCATGTTGGCCAGGCTTGTCTTCAACTCCTGGCCTCAGGTGATCCACCCACTTCGGCCTCCCCAAATGCTAGAATTACAGGTGTGAGCCACTGCCCACCCAAGTTTTACCACTTTAGATGCACTATTTCCTTTGATCACTTCCTGCTTCAAACTGACACTATAATAATAATTTCTAAATGTCCTGTTATATGATTTCAACCACTAACTGCTTAAGTGTCCACCTTAATGGAACCCTTTTATATTCAGAAGAAATATGGTTTAAGAATAAAGCATTCAGGCCGGGTATGGTGGCTCATGCCTGTAATCCCAGCACTGGGAGGCTGAGGCAGGCAGATCACAAGGTCAAGAGATTGAGACCATCCTGACCAACATAGTGAAACCCCGTCTCTACTAAAAATACAAAAATTAGCTGGGCATGGCGGCACATGTCTGTAATCCCAGCTACTTGGGAGGCTGAGGCAGGAGACTCACTTAAACCCAGGAGGCAGAGGTTGCAATGAGCTGAGATCGTACCACTGCACTCCAGCCTGGTGACAGAGCAAGACTCCATCTCAAAAAAAAAAAAAAGAATAAAGCATTCAGAACCTAGAGAGAACCTAGAGTAAAACACTTGGGCACAAATCTGAGATCTAGCTTTAATAATTATATTGCTTTAAGTAAGCCACTCAGCCTCTTTGCCTCAATTCTGTTTACAGTAAAATTGGTTTAATAATAATAATAACAATCTCCTTATCTAATGATTAAACTCAAGGAAGATAATAGCTGTGGATCAGGTTTAGCACATAGTAAACCCTTAGCTCTTGTTTCATTTTCCTCCTTTGGTTTGTATATATAATTAAATTTATATCATGATGAAATAAAATAATATAAATATGATTAACTTAATAAGGCTTATAATACAATTGAGGATGGGAAAAATAGTACACAAATTCCACTAATTCTCAAAGCATTTTCCCAATTGTACTTTTTATTAAAAGCAATCCTTATCTGAGTAAATAAGAATGTTTATATTGTATTCCTGTATAAGAAAAAATTATTACAAACACAATTTGTAAATTATTTCATGGTCCCTGTTGACATTTAAAATGATCAAACACTCTTTGATCCATTCATCCTTCTTGTGTGAATGTATCTTAAAAAAAAAAAAAAAAGCCTGATGCGCAAAGATGAGTGTACATGGTATGTTAGATTAAGGGGTTATTAAACATGAAAAAACTGAAGCAACCTAAATATTTACCTGTGTTAGTATGCTAGGGCTGGCTGCCCATAACAAATGACAATAAACTAGGGCACTTAAACAACAGAAATATATTTCCTCCCAGCTACTAAGTCTAGAAGATCAAGATGTTGGCAGGGAACGTTTTTTCTGACACCTCTCTCTTTGACTTGCACATGGCTGCCTTCTCTCTGTGTCCCCACATGAACTTTCTTCTGTGTATGTACATGTCTGTTTTCTAATTGCCTTTTCTTAAAAAGACTCCAGTCACATTGGATTAGCTCTCACCCAAATGACCTCATTTTCCCTCATGGCTTCAAAGGCCATTCTCCAATTGCAGTCACATTCTGAGATACTGGGGGTTAGAAATTCAACATAAGAATTTTGGAGGAACACGAGTTGGCCCCTAACATTATCCAAAATGAAACATTTCTCTTTAATTTTTAAGCAGTCTATTTAAAAGAGAATTGCTAAATTAAATGTCATATGTTGGCATAATTCACAGCCACTAATGTGAAAATATTTCCAGAATATTTCTAAATTTAAAAAATGCTATTTTTATGGTAAGCTTGTATAATCCTCACATGTATACATATATAAACACACAAAAAATACAGGAAAATTGGCAGTAGACAGGAAAATTGCCAGTAGAGGAAAGTGTGAAGAGAGGTATTAATACTCTATATCCTTCTATATCATCTTAAAAGTATTATTTAAAATATCTTTGTTTTTAATAAAAGAAATACATGTTCATGTAAAAGGGAAAAAGGAAGAGACAGGAATAGACAGAAAGCCAACATTTTCTTTGTTTTTCACGTAACAGTGCATTCTATATTAACCAGATTGTGTGTGTGTGTGTGTGTGTGTGTGTGTGTATGTACCTAGCCAGAGTGATGCATTTACACCTTGAATTAGATTACATCTCCTTGCTTGCTATCCTCAAAGACTTCCTTTTACTCCTGAAATAAAATACCCAAGTCCAAAACTCTTATTTCACTGTAGATTGCCATCCATTATCTGTCCTCTCACAACTTTCTGATCTTATTTTCTGAAAATTTCCCTTGCTGTATTACACTTACATGAAGAATTAGAAACTGGAATTGTAGTCGAAATTAATGTGTATTATGTTAGTATGCATGTAGTATTTCTTCTTTACTTATTGACTTATCTTTGAATTTCTTCATATCATTATTTATAAAAACATAGCATTATATTAGAAGAATGCATAATACTGTATGAATGACTGTGGATAGATTCCATTGTCAGCTGGATGAATTTTGCACCCAGTTAAAACACTGAAAAATAATTTTCTGGAAGATTCATGCATTGTTAATTTTCATAAATTTTGCAGAATTGACATCTGAAAAATATAGCACTACTCTGAAACTCTTACCAATAATTTTTATTTTCAGAAGTTTAAATTACTCATAATGTGATAGGTTACAAATGGCATGTCAGTATTCTTTAATATAATTTTCTTGTAATAAATTTGGGTTTTAATCCACATATTTGCAAAAATATAAAATTTTAATTCACTTTCTAATTCTATTTCACATCTTCATTCTTTTCTCACATTTATTTATATTTTTATCCAAAACATTCATATACTCGATCTGTTTAAATATTAAAGAAAATAGGCCAGTATCTTTTGTTTTGTCATTCCCTTTTGCAACACTATGCAATATTTAAGTGATGTTATTTTTTTACTTTAATTTTTAAGTAGTCTAATGCCTCATTAGTTTCCATTATCCTTTGGGTTGTATCAATGCAGGAAATGAGTTTATGTTTCTTAAACAATTATATTGGCAAGTTCTTAAACTACATATATATATATATACATATATATATATATATATATTCATTTGCACTAGTTGTAGCAAACACAAGTGCCTTTTTAGGTTCAGTAGGAAGATTTTTAGTGTTCTTATCTTTGTTTATGATGGTGAGTGCTGATAAAAAATAAGTAACTATCAATTCACTCTATTTGATTTAGTTAATTTTACAGAAATGATTGGAGAATTTTTCAGATAGTCTTATGAAATGTATTGCTGTGCGATATTAATTTTTCTTTGAAATTATAATGTTTAATTGCATTACAAACATGTTAACATAAACTATTTATGCACGATGAGAACAATTTCCATAATTAAAGTTCAGTTGTATTCTGTTTTCTAATTATAATAGTAATAGATATTATTATTATTAACATGTATTAATTTGCTAGGGCTATGATAGCAAAGTAACACTGGGTGCGTTAAGCAACAGAAATTTATTTTCTCACAGGTCTTCAGGCTGGAAATCAAACCAACATTTTGACAAGGTTAGTTTTCTCTGAGGACTCTTTCCTTGAGTAGGCAATGTCTGTCTTCCCCCTGGGTCATCACGTCTTCTTTTCTCTGTAGTTTTCTGTGTCTTAAACTCTTTTATATTTGGATATTAATTATACTGGATTAGGTGCACTCCAATAACAGTATTTAACCTTAATTACCTCTTCAAAGTAAACAGGATATCTCTAACTACAGTCACATTCTGAGGAACTGAATGTTAGGATTTCAACACATGAATTTGGAAGAGGAAGGCAAAATTCAGTTCATAACACTATATGTCACAAAATTATTATACTTATTAACCAGCGTAAAATGAACATACAATTTCCCAATGGAGGTGGGCTAAACATGTCACAGAGTTTTTCTTATTCATTAACAAAATTAATAATTTAAAATATCAGAAAATTAACCAGCAGCATATTTTGTTTGTGGCCCATATGCATACACATTAACAGATGTTTCACTTCCACTTATTTTTACAATGTTGTTATGCTAACTTCATAAAACAATTTTGAAATAATTTATTTTCTTTTCTATTGAATTTCAAAATATATTGTATACATGTTTCTTATAGGTGTCTTCTGGTTTCACATGTTATTAACATTCTCTCTTGGTTTTTGGCCTTAAATGTCACTACAGAAACCTAAAAGGCCAAAAGAATATATTCTATCTTTTTAGAGCTTTGCCTTCATTGTGAGATACAAGAACTATTTTCTAAATTTAAACCTTTATTAAATGTACTCTAATTGATTATAATTTGATTTTAATTTCATTTAGAAAATATAGTTGCACATTACATTTCTTTACCTAAGAAAGTTTTATTTTTATTGGATCTTAAACTATTTTTATATATTATTTAGTATTAATCTATTTTTGGGAATTTCAATTATATTTATGGAATTTCTATATTTGTCTGAATATAGCTGTCATTTTTCTTCAATAATTTTATCTGTTTTATTTTCATTTTTGTGTCATTTTCTAAAACTTTTTTTTTTTTTTTTTTTTGAGAGGGAGTCTTGCCCTGTCACCCAGGCTGGAGTGCAGTGTCACAATCTCGGCTTACTGCAACCTCCACCTCCCAGGTCCAAGTGATTCTCCTACCTCAGCCTCTCGAGTAGCTGGGATTACAGGTGTGAACCACCACGCTCGGCTAAATTTTTTTTATTATTATTTTAGTAGAGATGGGTTTTCAACATGTTGGCCAGGCTGTTCTCCAACTCCTGACCTCAAGTGATCTCCCTGCCTCGGCCTCCCAAAGTGCTGGGATTACAGGTGTGAGCCACTGCACCCGGCCCTAAAACATATCCTTTACATTCATGAATTTATTTTTAGCCAAGTCTGTTCTGTTTCTTTCTGTGACTAAATGGCTTTAATTTGTTAATAGGTGAATCTTTCATATAGTTACTGAATCCTCCAATGCCGTTTTATCTCATTTACTCTCTTTAATAATTATATATCTTTTCTTTCAAATCCTACTTAGATGTTTTTATAAAATATTTTTCCTCATAATATTTGAAGCTAGATAAATTATCTGCTTGAAATTTTGTTCAGAATTCTGAACATTTCTTTCTCTGTTTCATATTTTTCATCTACCACGTTTTGAATATTTTTACTCATTAAATTTTCTTTGTAACATCTGTGCATGGATGTTCTTTCCTGCTTAATATTAATATTTAAGTATCAAAAGGCTTGTCTCTATCTCTCTTTGTTCAACAAAAATATTTGAGTTTGAGAAAGTATCTTGGGGAAAGAAAAGTTACCAGCTGGGTTTAATTGAAAACAATGTGTTTGACTAGCTCTCTCTCATCATGTGTGTCTTCTTCCAGTGAAGCCATATGTCTCCCTGAATTTTGAGAATTCCTTTTGGGATGAGCCTATCTACTAGGTGAGAGCTCATATGCCTTTAAACTAGCCAGAGTGCTCTCTTTACTGATGTATAGTGCATTTATCATGCTTCAACTGACTCTAGAAAGCATTTACAAAGTCACTGACACTTGATCTCTTTACTCTCATGATCTCACCTCCAGGCCATTTTTCTTGGTTTGGAAGAAAAAGGACATGTTACCCCTGTTATATATCTCTGATGTAGTAATGGGTCAGAATAGGAACGCTCCTTCTATTTTCCATGACCGTCTAACCTGAAAACCTGAAAGTTTCTCTAGTTATGCTATTCTTTACCTTTTCACGATCATTTCAGTTAGCTTTATCTTAATTTTATTTAAATTTACATATTTGATATATATTAGTAAAATGTATGCTCTATTTTTTTTATAATTCAGTTTAATATGAAGATTTTTAAAAATTTTTTATTATGCATGTTTTTGGAAAATAAAGACTAGAATAAAAATGTCAATATTTTTCTATCTTTACTCAAATATTTCATATAATAATTTTAACACCTTATTTTAATGTAACTATAAACTTTGTTTTCAGACCCCATCTGTTACATTTTATGTATATGAGTATGTCCACTATGTAAAATATGAGGAGAGTAATATGTGATATTAATGTATAGGTAAAATGTAATGTATGTATTGGTAAAATCTACATATTTCTGATATCTGTGTTTTAATCTTTTACTCCTTAAAATGCAGTAGATTTGTATGTACATTTTTGAAAATAGTAAAATTCATGGTATTTTTTTCTTTTTTGGACAGGATATATTCCATCTAACCTCCTCCCACTTCTACTTTGTTATGGTAAAAAGAAACTGAAAATTAGCACTTGGGAAATTAGACTGCATAGAAAGATTTTCTCTCATCATATCTAGTAATATGAGTAAGCAAGCATCGGAGTAATAGCACTTATTTTAAATAGTACCAGAGGCCAATAACCTAGTTTACTTACATGTTCTTATTTATTTAACTGCACATAGTTATGGAGATATAATATAGTGACAATTTGATTATAGGCACACAGATTCTCTAATCCTTAATTTTTTTTGAAACATCATGTATCTATTCAGGGAAAGACACTTATCAAAAACTTTTATGAATTTGCATCGTAAAAACTGAAAGTTATTGCAACTATGATTGGAAAAGCTCACCTCACTTCCAAATTCTCCCAGGCTCCTTTCTCTAACGAACCACCCACACAGTCATTACAGGCAGCAGAATCATTGAGTGGTATGGACAAGCATCTTTCCTTCCTGCTTCCAGGCCCACTGTAGACAGTGTGCAGTTTGAAAGCTGGCAGACAGTATTACGAAGTGTGCAGAAAAATCCCATAACTATGCTGCAACTCCAGGGTAAAAAATTATCCTCCCAACATACCACTCCTAAAATACCAAAAGGTAAGACCTATCAATAGCCTTGCTTGTTTCTATAAATTTGTGGTTATTTTTATTATCTACTTTTTAAATGTTTTAAAGAGAAATGTAAAAGCAAAAACCAAAATGGAGGGGAAAGTATAATAAACATCCATGTGCTTATTGTTTATGTCTAAGATTTATCAACCTTTTTACCACTTTATTTGTTCTACTTTCTGTGTTTCGCAATTGAGCCAGCATATTTTAAAACAGGCCCAAAACTTTATGTCATTTTTCTTATAGATTCCATAGTATGAATGGCTAACTGATAAGAAGTTTGGTTCATAAAACAACCATAGCATTTATCACATATCAATGGCTAAGTCATGTGATTTCTCCCATAGTTCTCCCTCTTATCTGTATTCCTTACCCTAATTTGGATCACTGCTATTCTACCTAGTTTTCTCTAACAAATGTCTAACTATATTTTTCCTCCAGTATTGTTTTTCTTGTATCTATTTCTTTAAGGGCAGCTGCTGTGGTCTTTCGAAAAGCAAATCTGATCATATTGTTCCCCAGGTTAATTAAAAGCTGTTTATTACTTTCTGAATAATGCACCAATTATTTAATATGCTTCATATGGTCTTTCATAACTGGTTTCTTTGCCTGCCTTATCTTGTACCCAATTTAATTTTAATGGCAGAGTAGTCAATATTTTTTCTGGGTATCCATATACTGGAATAATTTATATACTGGCTGGAGTAATCGTTTTCTCTTCTTTGTTAGTCTTTTAGGTTTAGCTCATAAATTCTTGCTGCATGAAATATTAACTGCTGTCCTAAGTTCTGGTTACCTCTCCTTTCCAAACGCTCTCACAGCCCACTATGATTACCTTGTCAATTACTACAATTGCAATGCAAGTTTCTAAGCACATGTCTGTATCATTCTTGATTTACTTTTAACCCTATACCTAAATAATTAGTAGACTTGGTTGATCTTACCTTTGAAACAATTCCAATGTGTTCAGTTCTCTTCCTGTGTACTGCTACTAATCTCCTCAAGTCACCATATCTTATGACTTAATTCCTGGTATCTGTTTCATTTTCCTACTTTAATTCAACAAATAATATCTACAATATATATATTTTTAAATACCAAGTGACTCTTGCTCCCAGGCCATTTATACACCCTATGATTACTGATTAGTTTTGGAATAAGTTACATTATGCCCACGTGACCTATGTATTCTGGCCCTTGCCTACGCCTCCAACTTTATCATTTTATGTCACTGTGTCCCATTTTCTCGTACTGTTCAAATCACACAAGTTTTCTTTGCTTCTAAAATATGTTGAGATTATTTTTGGTCAACTTAAGGGAATTTTTAACCCTGCTTCCTCTCTCTAGATTGTTCTTCCAACTACTTTTGCCAATGTCTCCTTCCTACCTTTCATGTTAAATGTTATGATCACAGAAGTCATCTTTGAATTCTTTCTTTTATCTCAATACCATTCTATATTTGTGGGCTGTTTAATTTGTGGACTTAAATATAACCATTTTTTGTTTGTTTGTTTATGAATATTATGTGGATCTGTAAAAAAAAAGCATTCTCTCTTTAATTGCAAGTCTATATTAGTAGGGTTCTCCTAAGAAAATTAATCAAAAGGATGTGTTTATATGTAGAAAGATATTTATTATAAAGCAGAGGCTTGCACAATTATGAAGGCTGACAAGTCCAAAATATGCTGGGTAGGCTGGCATGTTGGAGACCCAGGGGAGCTGATGCGGCATCTTTAGTTCAATCCAAAGGCTGTCAGTCTAAAGCCTCAGAGGGACCAATATTCCAGGCCAAGTCTGAGAGCTCTCGGCTAAAAAATGTTATTTTATTTGAGGGAGAGTGACCTGTTTTGTTCTGTTCCTGCCTTCAACTGAATGGATGAGGTTCACCTACATTTTGGAGGGTAATTCACTTTACTCAAAAGTCCATTGATTTGAATGTTAATCTTAATCATGAAACATTCTTACAGAAACACGCACAGTAATGTCTGACCAACTATCTGAACAAGTTGGCCTAGTCAAGTTGACACATAAAATTAACCATAGCAAAGGACAAGTTCCATAGTTATGTACAGGTCTCCTTTATCTATTATTATGTGGTTTAGATCTTCTCTATCCATATAGCTTTTGGTTCAGTTTTTGTGTCTTAGAGATGTATTGGTCCTATGCTTTTTTTTTTCCCTTGCATCTCCTATAGTTTCAGATTTCTGAAAATTAGGACTGTGCTGATTTTTAGATGAGTAATTATTAATATTCACTGTATAAGACTTCTGTGTTTTTTTGCAACCTGTACCATAAAAAAAACTTTTTAAAAATCTCATTTAATGATTGACTGTATCAACTCTGCCTTGTGTAATATCAAGAGTATCATTCTGACTTTTGTTTATTTGCATCTTGCATGTATTTTACCATTATTTTATGTTTAACCTTTCAAAAATTGTTTAGTGTGTCCTTCCATACTGAATGGCATTAGATTTTAAAGTAAATGTGAAAATATTTATTTAATTGATCAACTGAGAGTACTTATTTTATTAACATAATTAATATTTTTACATTTCAATTATGTTATAAAATTTACATTTTATTACCATCAAGTCAATATAGTCTTTTACTATGTCCTCGTTTGTGCTGTCCTTTTTAAAGTATTTTTTTATTATTAGTGAAGGTTTGTATTTTTATACTAATTGTGCTTATACTAACAACTTTATAAAATATCCTTTGCAGGCTGGGCACGGTGGCTCACACTTGTAATCCCAGTACTTTGGGAGGCCGAGGTGGGCGGATCACGACGTCAGGAGATCGAGACCATCCTGGCTAACACGGTGAAACCCCGTCTCTACTAAAAATACAAAAAATTAGCAGAGCTTGGTGGCGGGCGCCTGTAGTCCCAGTTACTCGGGAGGCTGAGGCAGGAGAATGGCGTGAACCCGGGAGACAGAGCTTGCAGTGAGCGGAGATTGCCCCACTGCACTCCAGCCTGCGAGACATGCTCCCCCCACCCCACCCCCCGCCCCCCACCAAAAAAAAAAAAATCCTTTGCTCTTTCTTTTAAATAGGGTTTATAATTTTTCTGAAAGTCTTATGTTAACCTTTATATCAGTCACTTTGGCTGTCAGTTTATTCTCAGGATGGCTCAAATAAATTATTCTATGAGTGAACCCTTCATGTTGATACTAATATATCTGTGGGCTTCAAATATAAAAGTAACTGTGTATGTATATATCTTTGGCTCATAGTCTCTCTTTAAGTTACTTCATTGTCTTCTGACATGTAGTACTAATGTTGAAATGTAGGATGACCTAAGTTGTTCTTTGTTTCATTTTATTTTTTGATTGATTTGATCTTTTTGCCTTCCTGCAAAAAAAATATTTGGTGTGCCCTGTCGACACTTAGCTTCACTTAACAACAATAAAAAAGTAGTAAATGTTAGCTTTCAGTATTTTTTCTAACTACAATATTTGTATACTACTTCAGTATTTGCTTTGGTTTTCCTGAGACTCATATTCATTAGTTGCATTTTAAACATCTGTATTGATATATAATATGTGTACAATTTTATAGGGTACATGTGGTATTTTGTTATATGCATAGAAAGTGTAATCATCAAGTCAAGCTATCTAGAGTATCCATCACCATGAGTTTTTATCACTTCTATGTGTTGGGAACATGTCAAGTTCTCTTTGCTAACTATTTTGAAATACACATTCCATTAATTTTAACTATAGTCAACCTACCGTCTTACCAAACATTGGTACTTATTCCTTTTATTTAACTGTAGTTTGTACCCATTAACCAACGTTTCTTCACACCCCACCCCAAAGACACCCTTCCCAACCTCTGATAACTATCATTCTACTATTTACCTCCATGAGATCAACTTTTTAGCTTCCAAATATGAGTGAGAACATGTGATATTCGTCTTTCTGCACCTGGTTTATTTCTCTTAAAATAATGACCTCCGGTTCCATCCATGTTTCTTCAAGTGACAAAATTTTATTTCTTTTTATGCCTGAGCAGTATTCCATTGTGTACATATATGACGTTTTCTTTATCCATTCATCCATTGATGAACACTTAGTTGGATATCATATGCTAGCTGATGTGAAGAGTCCTGCAATAAACATGGCAGTACATGTCCCCCTTTGATATACTGATACATTTTCCTCTGGATATATGTCCAGCAGTGGGATTGCTGAATTGTAGGGTGGTTCTATTTCTAAATTTTGGAAAATTTCTATGTTTTCCATAATGGCTGTACTAATTTACATTCACACTAACAGCACATAATTTCCTTTTTCTCCTCATTTTTGCCAGGACCTGTTATTTATTTTGGTCAATTTAATAATGGCCATTCTAACTGATGTAAGGTATTATTTCACTGTGATATTTATTTGCATTTCTCTGATGATTAGTAATATTGAGCATTTTTTCATATACTTGTTGGCCATTTATTTATCTTCTTTTGGGAGATGTCTGTTCACGTCCTTTCCCCACTTTTTAATGGAATTTTTCTTCTTTTTTTTTTTTGATGTTGAGTTGTTGGACTTCCTTGTATATTTTGGATATTAGTCCCTTTTCAGATGAATAGCTTACAATTTTTTTTCTTGTACAACAGATTATCTTCACTCAGTTAATTGTTTCTTTATCTATACAGAACGTTTTTAGTTTAATATAGTCCCATTTGCCTATTTTTGTTTTTATTGCCTGTACTTTTGAGGTATTGGCTATAAAATATTTGCCCAGATCAATGTCCTATAATAATTCTTATATATTTTTAAAATAGTTTTATAGTTCTGGGTCTTAAAGGCTTTAATCCATTTTCAGTTGATTTTTGCATATGGTGACAGATGGGATCTAGGTTCATTCTCCTGCATATGGATATCCATTTTTCCGAGCACCAGTTATTAAAGATGATGGTCATTCCTTAATATATATTCCTGGTGCCTTGGTTAAAATTCAGTTGGCAGTAAATATGTGGATTTCTTGTTTCTTTATTCTTTTCCATTGGTAGAGTGTCTGTTTTTATGCCAATACCATGTTCTTTTGTTTACCATAGCCTTGTAATATAGTTTGAAGTCAGGTATTGTGAGCCTCCACATTTGTTCTTTTTGGTTAGAATTGTGTTGGCAATTCAGGCTTTTTGTGGTTCCATGTGAGTTTTAGATTTTTTTTTCTATTTATGTAAAAAATGACATTGGCATACTGATAGGAATTGCATTGAATCTGGAATTTGCTGTGAGTAGTATGGTCATTTATTTTTCTGATCCATGAGCATGGGATGTCTTTTCATTTGCTTTGTCTTTTTCGTTTTATTTCATCAATGTTTTGTAGTTGTTTTTGAATAGGTCTTTCACATCCTTGGTATAAATTATTCCTAGGTGTTTTATTTATTCTATGTAGCTATTATAAAGGGATTGTCTATTCTTATTTCTCAGCTAGTTCGTTATCAGTGTATAGGAATGCTACTGATTTTTGTATATTGGTTTGTAAACTGAAATTTTAATGTACTTATTTATAAGATCTAAGAGGTTTTCAGTAGAATATTATTTAGGTTTTAGGTTTTTCTAGACATTATATTAGATTGTCAGCAAAGAAGGACAACTTCTTTTTCTCTAATATGGATATCTTTTATGACTTTCATTTGCCTGATTGCTCTGATTAGGACTTTCACTACTATGTTGAATAGTGAAAGTGGGCATCCTTGTCATATTTTTGTTCTTCGAGAAAAGGTTTTCAGCTTTTCCCCATTCAGCTTAATGTTAGCTTTGGCTTTGTCATATAGGACCTTTATTTTGTTGAGTAATATTTCTTCAGTACATAGATTGTTGGGAGTTTTTATCATGAAATGATGTTGAACTTTATCGAATGTTTTTTCTGCATCTATTGAGATGATCTTATGGGTTTTGGCCTTGGTTTTGTTGATGTGGTATATCAAATTTATTGATTTGTGTATGTTGAAACTTCTTCCTTGTCTCTCTAGGATGAATACTACTTGTTCGTGGTATAATAACTTTTTGGTGTACTGTTGGATTTGGTTTACTAGTATTTTGTTGATGATATTAATATCTGTATTTATCAATGTATTATTTGTCTGTAGTATATTTTTTGTTGTGCCTTTGCTTTTGGTATCTGGGTAATGCTGGTCTCATATAGTGAGTTAGAGAAAATTTCCTCTAGGTCAAGTTTTTGAAATAGATTAAGGAAAGTTCGTTTTAGTTCTGTGAAAGTTAGGTAGACTTTGGTAGTGAAAGCATCTTGTCCTGGCTTCTTTTTGGAAAGGGAAAAATTTTATTACTGATTAAATCTTATTACTTATTGTTGGTTTGTTCAGCTTTTTTTTCTTGACTCGATCTTGTTTAGCTGTATGGGTTCAGAAATGTATCCATTTCCTCTATGTTTTACAGTTTGTTATTGTTTAATTGCTAATAACAGTTTCTGATTGTCATTTTTATTACTATCATTTATAATCTCTCCTTTTTCTTTTCTAATTTTGTTTATTTAGGTCTTCTTTTTGGTTAGTGTAATTGGTGTTAACTTTGTTTATGTTTTTGAAAAAACTTTTCATTTCATTGATTCACTTTTATTTTATTTTATTTTATTTTTTAGCCTTTTGTTCATTTAATTCTGGTCTGATCTTTTTTTTTTTCTTCTTCTTCTACTAATTTTTGGATTGGTCTGATCCTTAGGTACATTGTTAGATTGTTTATTTGAAATATTTCTACTTTTGTAATATGGGCATTTATTGCTATAAATTACCCTCTTGAGACTGCTTTTGCTCTATCCCAAAGGTTTTGTTATGTTAAGATTTTTTTTTCAAGAATTGAAAAAATCCGCCTTAATTACTTTCTTGGCCCCATGTTTATTCAAGAGCCTGTTGTTTAATCTCTATGTATTTTTAGACTTTTCAAAGCTCTACTTGTTATTGATTTCTAGTTTTATTCTAGTGTGGTCTGAGAAGACACTTGATATGATTTCAATTTTTTAAGATGTGTTTTATGTCCCTAAAATATCTATCTTGGAGAATGTTTCATGTGCTGGTGAGAAGAATATTTATTTTGGAGCTATTGAATGAAATATTCTGTAAAAGTCTGTTAGATCCATTGGCTCAAAAGTACAGTTTATATTCAACATTTTTAAAAAAAATTTTCTGTCTAGATGACCTATCTAATCCTGACAGTGGAGTTCTGAAGTCCCTATTATTGTATTGGAATCACTCTCTCTCTTTAAATCTGATAATCTTTACTTCATATATCTGGATACTCTGGTTTTGGATGCACATATGTATAGAATAATTGTTTCTTCTTGCGGATTTGATCCCATTATCATTATGTCATGACCTTTTTCTCCCTTTTCACTATTTTTATTAAGGTCTGTTTTATTTAATATAATTACAGCTATACCTGGTTTCTTTTTGCATGGAATATAGTCACTTTCTTTACTTTCAGTCTATAGGTGTCTCTGCAGGTGAGATAACTTTCTTGTACACAGGATATAGTTGGGTTATTTATTTATTTATTGCAGAAGAGAGAAATTTTAAATACTCTGCTTCACACTAATAAAAATACACTAAGCTCAATTTCCATGTTCTCTGAAATAATATAAGTGATTTTGCAGTAATATATCTACTTACATTTATTCTGCTCATTGAAATATTTTCTTTAAGGAAATATATTTGGAATTTAACAACTTTCTCCACTCAATATCTTCAGCATATATTCATATAGGTACATAAGCAAACAATTTTTATTTAATATTTAAAATATCAAGTAAAACCATCTGAAAGTTATCAAGAATGTAAAGTACTATACAGTAGTTTTTTTTTTTCTTAAGAAAACTTAAGGTAAACTTGTCTTTACTTTGATGGGTGGGATAAAAGGAGTAAGTTAAAATTGCTTCTTTCATCCCTGCCTCTTTCTTTTTTTTAACTTAATTTAATTTAATTTAAGGTTTTGGGATACATATGCAGCATGTGCAGGTTTGTTACAGAGGTAAACGTGTGCCATGTTGCTTTGCTGCACCTATCAACCCATCACCCAGGTAATAAGTCCCACATGCATTAACTATTTATCCTGATACTCTCTCCCCCTACCCTCCTGATAGGACACAGTGGATGTTGTTCCCCTCCCTGTGTCCATGTGTTCTCATTGTTCAGCTCCCACTTATAAGTGAGAACATGTGCTGTTTGGTTTTCTGTCCCTGTGTTAGTTTGCTGAGGATAATGGCTTCCAGCTCTTACATCCATGTCCCTACAAAGGACATGATCTTGTTTCTTTTTATAGCTGCATAGTATTCCATGTGGTATATGTGTCACATCTTTTTTATCCAGTCTATCATTGATGGACATTTGGGTTGATTTCATGTATTTGTTATTGTAAATAGTGCTGCAATAAACATACATATGCATGTATCTATTTTTTTTTCTTTTTCAGTTGGAGTCTTCTTGTTCTGTCACCCAGGCTGGAGTTCAGTGACATGATCTTGGCTCACTGCAATCTCCGTCTCCCAGGTTCAAGTGATTCTCCTGTCTAAGCCTCCTGAGTAGCTGAGATTACACGAGCCTACTGCCATAACAGGCTATGTTTGTATTTTTAGCAGAGATGGGGTTTTTCCCCATGTTGGCCAAGCTGGTCTCAAACTCCTGACCTCAATTGATCCACTTGCCTCAGCCTCCCAAAGTGCTGATATTGCAAGCATGAGCCAAGATGCTCAGCCTGTATCTTTGTAATGGGATGATTTATATTTTGGGGGTACATGCCCAGCAATAGGATCGTTGGGTCAAACTGTATTTCTGGTTCTAGATCCTTGAGGAATCATCATACTGTCTTCCACAATGGTTGAACAAATTTACAGTCCTGCCAACAATGTAAAAGCATTCCTATTTCTCCACAACCCCACCAGCATATGTTGTTTCTTGACTTTTTGATTTTGGTTTACATGCCTCTCATGATCAGTGATGTCAAGATTTTTTTTCGTGTATCTTGGCTGCATAAATGTCCTCTTTTGAGAATTGTCTATTCATGTCTTTTGCCTGTTTTTTGATGGGATTGTTTGTTTTTTCTTATAAATTTGTTTAAGCTCCTTGTAGATTCTGGATATCAGACCTTTGTCAGATGGATAGATTGCAAAAATTTTCTTCCATTCCATAGGTTGTTTGCTCTGATGATAGTTTCTTTTGCTGTGCAGAAGCTCTTTAATTAGATCCCATTTGTAAATTTTTGCTTTTATTGCAATTGCTTTTGATGTTTTTGTCATGAAATATTTGTCTGTGCCTATTCCCTGAATAGTGTTGCCTAAATTTTCTTCTAGAATTTTCATAGTTTTAGTTTTACATTTTAGTCTTTAATCCATCGTGACTTAATTTTTATATAAGATATATGGGTCCAGTTTCACTTTTCTGCATATGACTATCCGAATTTCTCAGAACCATTCATAAAATAGGGAATCCTTTCCCTGTTACTTGTCTTTGTCAGGTTTGTTGAAGATCAGATGGTTGAAGATATATG
Source organism: Homo sapiens (assembly GCF_000001405.40). Lineage (NCBI taxonomy): Eukaryota > Metazoa > Chordata > Mammalia > Primates > Hominidae > Homo > Homo sapiens. Next base: position 26,359,013 of record NC_000005.10, read on the forward strand.
GTCTTATTTGTGAGATTTCTATTCTGTTCCATTGGTCTGTGTGTCTGTTTTTGTACCAGTACTATGTTGTTTCTGTTACTGTTGCCTTGTAATATAGTTTGAAGTCAGGTAGTATGATGCCTCCAGCTTTGCTTTTCTGCTTAGGATTGTCTTGGCTATACTGGCTCTTTTTTGGTTTCATATGAATGTTAAAGTAGTTTTTCTTTTCTAATTCTGTGAAGAATGCCAATGGTAGTTTCATGAGAATAGCATTGAATCTATAAATTACTGCAGGCAGTAGGACCATTTTCATGATATTGATTCTTCCTATCCACAAGCATGGAATAGTTTATTATTATTATTATTATTATTTGTTTGTCTGTGTCCTTATTTCCTTGAGCAGTGATTTGTAGTTCTCTTTGAAGAGGTCCTGCACATCCCTTGTTAGCTGTTTTCTTAGGTATTTTATTCTCTCTGTAGCAATTGTGAATGGGAGTTCATTCAAATTTGTCTCTCTGCTTGTCTATTGTTGGTTTATAGAAATGCATATAATGTTTGCAGGTTGATTTTGTATCCTAATACTTTGTTGAAGTAACTTACCTGCTTAAGGAGCTTCGGGGCTGAGACTGTGGGGTTTTCTGGATATAGGATCATGTTGTCTGCAAACAGAAACAGTTTGACTTCCTCTCTTTCCATTTAAATATGCTTTATTTCTTTTTCTTGCCTGATCGCCCTCAACAGAGCTTCCAATACTATGTTGAATAGACTTGCCTTGTGCCAATTTTCGAGGGGAATGTTCCCAGCTTTTGCCCATTCACTATGATATTGGCTGTGGGTTTGTCATGACTGGCTCTTACTATTTTTAGATATATTCCATCAATATCTAGTTTATTGAGAGTTTTTAACATGAAGGGATATTGAATTTTGTTGAAGACCATTTCTGCATCTATTGAGATAAACATATGATTTTTGCCTTTAGTTATGTTTATGTGCTGAATTACATTTAGTGATTGTGTATGTTGAACCAGCCTTGCATCCCAGGAATGAAGCCAACTTGATGGTGGTGGATAAGCTTTCTGATGTGCTGCTGGATATTGTTGGCCAATATTGTATTGAGGATTTTTGCATTGATGTTCATTAGGAATATTGGTCTCAATAACCTGTCTTATATTGACAGTGGGGTGTTAAAGTCTCCCACTATTATTTTGTGAGGGTGTAAGTTTCTTTATAGGTCTCTAAGAACTTGTTTTATGAATCTGAGTGCTCCTGTATTGGTTGCATATATATTTAGGATTGTTAGCACTTCTTGTTGAATTTATCCCTTTACCATTTTATAATGCCCTTCTTTGTCTTTTCTAATCTTTGTTGGTTTACAGTCTGTTTTGTCAAAAACTAGGATTGCAATCCCTGCTTTTGTCTGCCTTCTATTTATTTTCCTCAATCCCTTTATCTTGAGCCTATGTGTCTTTGCATGTGATGTGGGTCTCCTGAGTACAGCACACCAGTGGGTCTTGACTCCATCAAATTTGCCAGTCTGTGTATTTTAATTGGGACATTTAGCTCATTTACATTTAATGTTGATATTATTATGTGTAAATTTGATCCTGTCTTCATCTTCATGATGCTAGCTGGTTATTTTGCAGACTAGTTGATGCAGTTTCTCCATAATGTCATTGGTCTTTGTACTTCAGTGTGTTTTTGCAGTGGCTGGTACCTCTTTTTTCATATTTAGTACTTCCTTCAGGAGCTCTTGCAAGGCAGGCCTGGTGGGTGATGAGTTCCCTTAACATTTGGTGGTTGAAAAGGGTTTATTTCTCCTTTGCTTATAAAGCTTAGTTTGGCTGTATATAAAATTCTGGGTTGGAAATTCTTTTCTTTAAGAATGTTGAATATTGACCCTCACTTTCTTTTGGCTTGTAGGGTTTCTGCTGATAATTTACTGTCAGTCTGGTGGGCTTCCCGTTGTAGGTGACCTGGCCTTTCTTTCTGGTTGCCCCTAACATTTTTTCCCTCATTTCAATTTTGGAGAATCTGATGATTATGTGTCTTGGGGTTGAGCTTCTCATAGAGTATCTTATTTGGGTTATCTGGATTTCCTGAAATTGAATGTTGGCCTGTCTTGCTAGGTTGGGGAAGTTCTCCTGGAAGATATCCTGAAGTGTGTTTTCCAATTTGGTTCCATTCTCCCTGTCTCTTTCAGGTATTCCGGTTAGTCATAGGTTCAGTCTTTTTACATAGTCCCATAGTTCTTGGAGGTTTTGTTTGTCCCTTTTGATTCTTTATTCTCTAATCTTGTCTATTGGCCTTACTTCAGCAAGATAGTCTTCAAACTCTTATATTCTTTCTTCCACTTGATTGATTTGGCTATTGATGTTTGTGTTTGCACCACGAAGTTCTTGTGCTGTGTTTTTCAGCTCCACCAGGTCATTTATGTTCCTCTCTAAACAGATTATTCTAGTTAACAGCTCCTGTAACCTTTTATCATTGTCCTGTGCTTCTTTGCATTGGGTTAGAACATGCCTCTTTAGCTCAGCAAAGTTTGTTATTAACCACCTGCTGAGGCCTACTTCTGTCAATACATCCATCTCAGCCTCCACCCAGTTCTGTGCCCTTGCTGGAGAGGTGTTGTGATCATTTGGAGAAGAAAAGAGATTCTGGACTACTGAGATTTCAGTGTTTTTTCATTGATTCTTTCTAATTTTCATGTGTTGGTCTAGTTTTTTGTTTGTTTGTTTTGTTTGTTTCTTCTGTTTGTTTTTTGAGACGGAGTCTCACTCTGTCACCAGGCTGGAGTGCAGTGGCGTGATCTCAGCTCACTGCAACCTCTGCCTCCCGGGCTCAAGCAATTCTCCTGCCTCAGCCTCCCGAGTAGCTGGGACTACAGGCACACACCAGTGTTGGTCTAGTTTTTATCTTTGAGGGTGCTGACCTTTAGATTGGTTTTTTTTGTGGGGACTCTTGTTGATGCTGTTTTAGTTACTTTCTGTTTTTTTTTTTTTTTCTTTTAACCATCAGGTGCCTCTTCTGTAGGGTTGCTGCAGTATGCTGGGGGTTCACTTCAGGCCCTATTTACCTGGGTCCCTTATGCACCTGGAGATGTCACCTGAGGAGGCTGGAGGACAGCAAAGATGTGTGCCTGCTCCTTCCTCTGCTATCTCTGTCCTTGAGAAGTACCAACCTGATGCCAGCAGAAACACTCCTGTATAAGGTGTCTGTTGACTCTTGTTGGGGAGGTCTCACCAAGTAGGGGGCACAAGACTTGGGACCCAGTTAACGAAGCACTCTGGTTGCCCCTTGGTGAAGGGGATGTACTGCGCTGGCACAAAACCCACTTGTTTAGGCTGCCTGGATTTCTCAGACCCAGCATGGGGAAAGAGCAAGTCTGCTGGTCCCCAAAGACCATGGCCACCCATACCCCTAGGAGCTCAGTCCCAAGGATATCAGAATTCTGTCTCTCAACCCATGGCTGGAGTTGCTGCAGGGATGCTCTGCCAAGAGAGGAGGGATGGGTCAGGGTCCAGCCTAAAGAGGCAGTCTGGCAACGATCTGCCGCAGCCAGTGGACTGTGCTGTGGGGAATATCTCTTGGGTCCAAACTGTTCAGTCTCCCCAGAAACAGCAGGGGAAAAAACGTGGACTGAAGCTGCAGTAATGGCTGCTGCCCTTCCCCTCTGGGAGCTCAGTCATCTTAGGCAGGAGGCAGCTTAAGTGATTATGGCTTCCCCTCCCCTGGGCAGCTCAGTCATCTTAGGCAGCAGGCAACCACAGTGATGATGACCACCCCTCCCCCTTGGAACTCGGTAGTCTTTGGCAGTCCTCAGCATAGTGGCTGTTGAGAATCTGTGCAGATCTCTGGTTGAGACTCAAGGCCCTGGTGGCGTGGGCTCATGAGTGGGATCTTCTGATCCATGGGTTGCACAGATCCATGGAAAAAGCACGGTTTCCCAGGCTGGGTAGCACAATCACTCACCACCTCCTCTGGCTGGGATGGAGGCTCCCAATGCCCCATGTGGCTCTCAGGTGGGCTAATGCCCCATGTTGCTTTTCCTTGCTCTTCGTTGGTGACACCAACTGCCTAGTCAGTCCTGATGATTGAAAGAAACTTGATACCTCAGTTGCCAGTGCAGGATTCACATGCTGTTTTAGTTCTTCTTGGTGGGACACTCTGCCTGCAGCCGTTTCTAGTCGGCCATCTTGGCCCCACCTAATTGGGTCATTTTTAGAATACATTTAACCAGTCTATATATTTGTAGTGAAAAATTTAATCTGTTCACATTCAACATTATTATTGATACGTGATATGATTAGATTCTTTGTCCCCACTCAAATCTCATCTCAGATTATAATCCTCACATGTTGAGGGACGGAACTGGTGAGAGGTAACTGGATCATGGGGAAGGTTCCCCCATGTTGTTCTCATGATAGTGAGAGAGTTCTCACAAGATCTGATGGTTTTTAAAGTGGCAGGTTTCCCTGAGCTCTCTCTCTCTCTCCTGCCACCTTGTGAAGAAGGTCCTTGTTTCCCCTTTACCTTTTGCTATAATTATAAGTTTCTTGAGGCTTCCCAAGCCCTGTGGAACTGTGAGTCAATTAAACCTCTTTTTTAAAATAAATTAACAAGTGTCAGGTAGTATCCATACATTGTGATAACAGACTAATACAGAAACTTGGTACCACAGAGAGTGGGGCACTGCTATAATGATAACCTGTGGAAGCAACTTTGGAAATCTGTAAACAGGCACAGGTTGGAACAGTTTGGAGGGCTCAGAAGAAGACAGGAAGATGTGGAAAAGTTTGAAACTTCCCAGAAACCTGGTGAATGGTTGTGACCAATATGCTGATAGTGATAAGGGCAATAAAATTCAGGCTGAGGTGCTCTTAAATGGAGATGAGAAACTCACTGCGAACTGGAGCAAAAGTCACTCTATGCTTTAACAAAGAGACTGGCAGCATTTTGCCCCTGCTCTAGAGATCTGTGGAACTTTGAACTTCAGGGAGATGATTTGGGGTATCTGGAAGAAAAAAATTCTAAGCAGCAAAGCATTCAAGAGATGACCTGGTTTTATCTGAAATAGTACAGTTACATGTGTTCACAAAGTTAATCTTAAACTGGAACTTATGTGTAAAAGGGGAGCAGAGCATAAATGTTTGGAAAATTTGCAGCTGACCATATGGTAGAAAAGAAAAACTCAGTTTCCGGGAAGAAATTCAAGCCTGCTGCAGAAATTTGCAAAAGTAACAATTAGCCAAATGTTAGTAGCCCAGACAATGGGGACATTGTCTCCAGGGCATGTCAAAGATGTTTGTGGCAGACGTTGCCATCACAGACTTGGGGGCCTAGAAGAAAAAAATGCTTTCATGGGTTGAGCCCAGAGATCCACTATTCTGAGGGCCAAGGTATAGCTTGGGCTGTTGCTTCAGAGCATGCAAGCCCCAAGCCTGGGTTGCTTCACATAGTGTTGGGCCTGCTGGTGCAAAAAAAAGACAGGAGTTGAGGTTTGGGAACCTCCACCTAAATTTCAGAGGATGTATGGAAATGCCTGGCTGTCCAATCAGAAGTCAGTTCCAGGGGAGGAGCCCTAATAAATAACCTCTACTAGGGCAATGCAGTGGGGGAAATGTGGCCACCCTTTGCATCAGCATAACCTGGATGTGAGACATGCAGTCAAAGGAGATCATTTTGGAGCTTTAAGATTTAATGACTACTCCACTCAATTTTGGACTTGCATGGGCCTGTAGTCCCTTTGTTTTTTTTTTCGTTTGTTTGTTTATGGTCTTTTTTCTCTTTAGACAGAGTCTCGCTGTGTCACCAGGCTGGAGTCCAAATGGTGCAATCTGGGCTCACTGCAACCTCTGCCTCCTGGGTTCAAGCAATTCTCCTGGCTCAGCCACCCAAGTAGGTGGGACTACAGACATGTGCCATCATGCCCAGCTAATTTTTGTATTTTTGGTAGAGACAGGGTTTCACCATGTTGGCCAGGATTCTCTTGATCTCTTGACCTCGTGATATGCCCACCTCGGCCTCCCACAGTGCAGGGAATACAGGCGTGAGCCACCATGCCCAGCAAGTAGTCCCTTTGTTTAGGCCAATTTCTCCCATTTGGAATTGGAATATTTACCCAGTGCCTGTACCCCCAGTGTATCTTCAGGTAACTAACTTGTTGGTTTTACAGTCTTATAGGTGGAAGGGACTTACCTTGTCTCAAATGAGACTTTGAACTTGGACTTTTGTGTTAATGCTTGAATGAGTTAAGACTTTGGGGGACTCCTGAGGAGGCATAATAGTGTTTTGAAATGTGAGAGTGACATGATATTTGAGAGGTGTCTGGGATAGAATAATATGGTTTGGTCCTGTGTTCCCACACAAATCTCATCTACAATTGTAATCTCCACGTGTTGAGGGATCCCTCTGGTGGGAAGTGATTGGATCATGGTGGCTGTTCCTCAATGTGTTAGTGAGGGAGTTCCCATGAGATTTAATGGTTTTAATAGTGGCAGTGTCCCCATACACTCTCTCTCTCCTGCCACCTTTTGAAGAAATCTTGCTTCCTCTTTGTCTTCGGCTACGATTGTAAGTTCCCTGAGGCTTCCCCAGTCATGCAGAACTGAGACAATTAAATCTCTTTTCTTTATAAATTACCCAGTCTCAGGTAGTATATTTATAGCAGCATGAAAATGGACTAATAAAATATGTGAGGATTTATTTGAGTAATTTTATTAATTAATTTCTGGTTGTTTTGTATGTCCTTTATCCTTTTCTTTCTCTCCAATTGTTTATCATTGTGATTTGGCAGCTTCCTGAATGGCAACATTTGAGATCTTTATCTTCCTTATTTGTTTTTTGCTGTACCAGTGGGTTTTATAATTTCATGTGTTTTCATGGTATCAGCCTTTTACTTCCAGATTTAGGACTCCTTTAAATACTTTTTTAGGTCTGATCTAATGGTGATTAATTCCCTTACATTTTGCATGTTGGAAAAGATTTTGTCTTTATTTATAAAAGGTAACTGCTACATATCGTATCCTTGGTTGGTGGTTTTTTTTTTTTTCAACACTTTAATATATCATCCCGTCCTCTCCTGGCCTGTAAGGTTTCTGCTGAGAAATCTGCTGTTAATCTGATTAGGGTATCCTTTTATATAACTAGACAATTTCCTCTTGCTTTTCTTAGAATTCTATCTTTGTTTTTGACTTTTTGACAGTTTATAATGTGTTATGGATAAGGCTTTTTTTGAATTTTATCTATTTGAGTATATCTGAGCTTCCTATATCTGGATATCTAAGTCTCATTGTAGACTTGTAAAATTTTCCTTTATTTTTAATTCCTTTTGTATTATTTTCAACTTTTGGGACATCAGACATTCAAACATTTGGCCACTTTCTGGTGTCCTATATCTCAAATATGCTTTATTCTTTCTTATTTCTTTTTTAAATTTATGTCTTACTAGTTTATTTTTAAATACCTGTCTTTTAGTTCTCAATTATTTTGTTCTGTGTAATCTAGTCTATTGGTGAAGGTTTTGCACGTATTTTGTATTTCATTCAGTGAATTCGTCAGTTGCAGAATTTAAGATCTGTTAATTTTATACCTGTCTCTTTCATAGGTTATTCATATCCTGGTTTTTTTTCTGATTTATTTGTCTTTTTAAGTGTATTATACAACACACTTTTTCTCAATTAGCTTCTTTAATATCTGTTTTAAGAATTCTAAAAATTATTTTCCTGGGATTTTATAAATTTATTTTCATTGGAATATATCCCTTTAGATTTATTATATTTCTCTTGCTTTTGCATTTTTCTGCATCTCTACATTGATATCTAACCATCTGGTGTAACATTCACTTCTTGCAGTTTGTTGGATTTGCCTTCATAGGGCAGGAATTTTCCCCAAAGTTGTATCTACAATGTTGATTGCATAGGTCACTTTGGTTTCGATGCTGCCTCCAAACAGAAGTTTAGTCGCCACGTGATTTCTTTGCTTGTAAACATGTCCCGTGGTGTCTGTGATTTCCTCAGTAGTTTAGAGTGTGATTATTAGTGGAGGCTTTGGTAAAGTTATGCTGAGAACTATGACACCAGATGAGCCAGTCATTGGGCCCTCATGTTGGCAGCAGTGAGATAAATATGGACCACTGGGCAGCAGTCATGGACTGGGCAGGGCAATTCCCAAGCCCTTGGATGGTGTGCTCATGGACTGGGGGAGAGCAGAGTTGGGCTGCAGGAATTGTCCTCAGGCCCCCTGGTATTACCTGTAGGCACTAATTGTGGTTGGAAATGGAGGCGTGATCTCTAGGCCCCCCAGTGAAATGATCAGGTGGGGGTGTCGGTGGTGGTGATGGATGGGGATAGCCTGTCCTCAGGTTATGTGCAATACACTGTGGCTCTGCCACTAGGGGTATAAGGTTACTGTAAGTGGCAGCAGCTGCAGATAGGTGGTTCTCAAGCTCCACAGAATATGCAATTTGGCCCCCAGCAGTGGTCACAAAGGCAGCAGCACAGTCTGCACCCTGTAAATCAATCGTTAGGGCATGTGAACGTACATGGCCACCCTAACTCGGAAGGAGGCAGAGTCACTGCCAATGGGTCATGCTTTGGCTTCTGGTGGCAACAACAGCAGTAGCTCTAGTAGGCACCATTAGTGTCTGTCCTTAAGGTCTGTGACATAGCACTGCTGCTGAGAGAGCAGGGTTGATGCCTGTAGATGGCATCCAAGACAGATAGTTCTCAGGCTCCAAGTTGTGTACAGGTGCAACTTTGCCTCTTTTTGTTTTGGGAAAAGCCTCTCTTGTGCACTGTACTACCTATTCCCCAGCGTGCTAGACACCGTGTGTGCTAGAGCCCTAAAGACCTTGACACTCCACTGGATCCATCCAGTTTCACATGCTGCAGCCTGCTCCGGCTGCCACTGTTGCTTCCACCAGAGGCTAAAGTGTGAGCCATTGTCAGTGTCTCCACCCCATTCAACGGCAGGGTGGCGAGGTATTTGCGCATGACCTGGGAAGTGGCTTTACTAGGTATAGCACTGTTGTCCTTTTGCCACCATGGCCAAGGGCCAAAGTTCACACACCTTGAAGCTGGAGAAGTGCCTACCTGCGGCTGCTGCCACTCATAGCAACCCAATACCCCTAGCAGCGGGGCCATAGTACATAGTGGGAAATGTCAGTGGAGGTCTAAGGATGATGATATGCAGGGGCAGTTGGGCCCTAGGACAGGTTGCAGTTTGGTGGGTCATGGATTCTAAAAATACTGCTGTCCTGCAGCTTTTAAGACTCAGGCTGCATGTGGGACCTATCATGAGCTCCCTCTCTGGAGCAGGGCTATTGCACAGTCCCTAGGCAGCTACCTATGCTAGTCTCAGGTCCCGTGAGGGTCAAAGAGTTCTCTCGTGAGTAGGGCTGCGTGAGTCAGCACTGGGAAAGTGGACCACTGGGGGTGT